>NC_000009.12:62798832-62958371 GCF_000001405.40 Homo sapiens
GAATTCCCCAGAGAGCAATGAGCCGAGACCCAGGTAGTTGTCTGTTTTTCATCCACATGGTTCACAGATGACATATCCCCACGTTGAGCCCTGCAACAGAGCTCGAGGCGGATAGTCCCATCCACACAGGAGTCACACTCAGGCCAACTGAAGCGTGATTCTGGATTCCACGTTTCTTTGCCCTCTGTAAAGGTGCCTGTTGCTCAAGTTTCTGCCCCCCGAAAGCGTGACCATGTTGACTGTTTCGCGAGCTCTGTGGGGCCCCAGAAACTTCCAGGAATGCGTGGAAGACCAGCATCGTGTCGGTGCTCTCCTTTCCAGTTTTCAAACAGGCTATATTGGAGACTCCCCATTTTGCAGGAAACAGGAATCCATCATCAGGCCGTGATGCACGGGATGTTTCTTTTCTCTGTGGTTTCGCTCTCGTTGTCTACGTGAAAACGAACGAGATGAACACAACTGCGTGTGTGAGACTATCACGGCAACTGTGACACCCAGGCGTTGGCAATAGAGTTGGCAGCCTGATCCTGGGACAAAGGTACTGATGGACATCCAGACACACCCCACCACAATCACTAGCAAACCCACTCCCAAACACACAGACACACACGGGCGCACGCGCGGGAACACAAGCACACACACAGACACACAAAGACACAGACAACTTGAAGGAGAGCAAGGGACAGAGGGATGAGAAATAGAAACGGAAGGAGAGAAACAGCGATGGAGAGAGAGACAGAGAGGAACTGGGGAGATTGAGAGAGAGAGAGAGAGAGAGAGCAAGGTGGAGAGGGAAGTAGAGAAAGGGAAAGGGTGAGGGAGCTAGAGAGGGAGAGCAACAGAGCCTTGGAGAGGGAGGCTCTATCTGGTAGACAGGGGCCCCTTTGGCCAGGGTAGGGTGGAGGGTGCCTGGGCTGGGCTGGAACATGGGGGCAGGGCCGCCCACGCGGGAAAACCAACGGAGCCCTGAGACGTGTTTTTACTTGGATTTGTTGGTTGCTTTGGGGGTGCTTTTCGTAGCGTCATTCCTTTGTTGGCTCCTCCCTGTCCTCTTGGTGCTGTGGGCCCTGAAAGTTGTAGAGTGCGCCCCTCACTGTGGCAGGAGCAGTGGCGCTGAGCGTGCCCACGGGCCGCGGCTTGGGTCTCTCTCATTTTCCAGGTGGTATGGCCGTGGACAATGGCAGTGGCGCCTGGCTGGCCCAAGAGCCCAGTCCAGCTACGCCTGCCTGATTCCAGGCGTCACCACCAACCCGGGGGCCGCGAGGCTGGGATCAGGCACCCCGGAGCCGCTTGCCTGTGGCCGGGCTGCTCTCCCCCTCTACGCCCAAGCACCACCATCGCCGCGCTGCGCTTTCCGCCGACCTCCCAGAGCGTCCCGATGTCGCCGGCGGCCAGACCATGCGCGAGACAGCCCAGGCGCCAGAGACCTCCATCCCCTGCCAGGGCTCTGGACTCTCCAGGCGGCCACCCTCTCGCTGGGACTCCAGGCCTTCCCCAGGCTCTTGAGCTCCCGAGCTTCCAACACCTGGGGCCCGCTTAGGACGGGGTGTGCTCCGAGGCGTCAGGGCCCAGGGCCCACGGTCCTGGGGTCCCCTCCGGTCCTCCGCCTTGCCGCGGAAAAATTATTTTGGATTCCTCACCGCCCCTCCTGCAAGGCCCCCTCTTGCCCCACACACCCAGAGCCGCCAGGGCTGCCCAGG
Source organism: Homo sapiens (assembly GCF_000001405.40). Taxonomy (NCBI): domain Eukaryota; kingdom Metazoa; phylum Chordata; class Mammalia; order Primates; family Hominidae; genus Homo; species Homo sapiens. The sequence goes on from NC_000009.12 coordinate 62,800,533, forward strand.
GGCGAACAGCCGGCCCAGCCCCACAGGCCCTTTTTCTCACAATGCTCACACCATCGTCGCTTGTTCTGAGGAGGACCCGCCATGGCCAAAGGGGCAAGAAGGCTCTGCTTTGCCCCGCCCTGGCACTAGAGCCCCGGCAGCCTCATCCCGGGAAAGAGGGGCTGACGGACACCCAGACACACCCCACCACTACCACGAGCAAACCCACCCTGACACACCCACGGATACACACGGGTGCATGCGCGCAGACACACACACACACCACACCCGGGCACACACACACGGACACACAAAGACACAGACACAGATAGCTCAAAGGGAGACCTCCCCTCATATTGTCTTATGCCCAATTTCTGCCTCCAAAGAAAGAAGAAGTAAAATCTAAAAGGCAGAAATGAAATCCACAGGCAGACAGCCCCGCGCCACACCCTGGGCCTGGTAGTTAAAGATCGATCCCTGACCTACTCGGTTATGTTATCTATAGATTACAGACATTGTATAGAAAAGCACTGTGAAAATCCCTGTCCTGTTTTGTTCTGATCTAATTACCTGTGCATGCAGCCCCCAGTCACGTACCCTCTGCTTCCTCAATCCATCAAGACCCTCTCACGCGGACCCCCTTAGAGTTGTAAGCCCTTAAGAGGGACAGGAATTGCTCACTCGGAGAGCTTGGTTTTTGGAGACGTGAGTCTGCGGATGCTCCCAGCTGAATAAAGCCCTTCCTTCTACAACTCGGTGTCTGAGGGGTTCTGTCTGCAGCTCCTCCTGCTGCAGAAGGAGAGCAAGGGAGAGAGGGATGGAGAAATAGAACCAGAGGGAGAGAGAGAGACAGCGATAGAGAGAGAGAGAGAGAGACAGAAAAGGGGGGAGGAGAGAGAGAGGGGGGAAGAGAGAGCACCACAGTAGAGCGCGAGGTGGAGGGGGAAGTAGAGAAAGGGAGAGGGTGAGGGAGTTGTGGAGCGACAGCGACAGAGCCTTGGAGAGGGAGGCTCTGCTCAGGTAGACAGGGCACCTTTCAGCAGGCCGGGGTGTGGTGGAGGGTTCTTGGGCCGGGCTAGAACAGGGGGTCAGGGCCCCCCACCCAGGAAAACCAATGGAGCCCTGAGACTTGTTTTTTTCCTTGGATTGGTTGGTTGCTTTGGGGGTGCGTTTCATAAGGTCCTTCCTTTGTTTGCTTCTTTCTGTCTCCTTGATGCGGTGGGCCCCGAGATTTGTAGAGTGTGCTCGTGTGTCTGGCAGGAGCCGTGGCGCCGAGCCTGTCCACGGGGCGAGGCCTGGGTCTCTCTCCTGTCCTCCGGACTGGAGTTTACACGAAGTCGGTGGCATTGGGAAACAGGGTGCACAGGGACGGATTTCCTCGTGGCTGGCGAAGAAAATGTCCTTCCTCTGGGGAAAGCAGCCCTCGGGTTCTGGAGCGGAGGTCTTGGCTGGGGTCTGTGGCACCCGCTGCCCCTGCTCGCCCCTCCCACCGGCTTGGACGGTTGCAGTGACGCTGAATGAATGAATACAATTGCCTGGGAGTCCGGGGAGCGTGAAGAGACCCGGGACCTCAGGGAACCCGCGCCTGCACCCTCGGGGTCGGTCCCGTCCCGCCCGGGTTGGGTGGGGCTGCCGCGAGTCGGAAGAGGTGGGATGCTGCTGCCTGGCGGTGCTGCAGTGGCGGATCTTCAGGAGGAGGTCCTGGGCTTCGGCTGGGGCACGGGGGCGGTCAACGGGGAGCAGAGGCGGGGCGCAGTTGGGAAGCACGGAGACAAAAGGGGGAAAGAAGGAGGGAGCGGGAAGCCAAAAGCCTACGGTACCGCTATTACCAGGCGGAATCCCATCCAAGTACTAACCAGTCCCGACCCTGCTTAGCTTCAACAGATCAGAGGCGAGCCGGGCGCGTTCAGGGTGGTGTGGCCTAGACGCCAGCAGCGGCGCCTGGCTGCCCCAAGAGCCCGGCCCAGCCAAGCCCGCATGACTCCAGGCGTCATCGCCACCCCGGGGCCGCGGGTCTCGGATCCAGGACCCCCAGAGGCGCTCGCCCGTGCCCCCGGGCAGCTGTCTCCCTCTACACCCGAGGACCGCCGGCCTCCCAGAGAGTCCCGCCGTCTCCGGCGGCCAGGCCTGGCTCAGGACCAATGTGGCACCGCCCTGCTGTTGTTGGGGGGCGCCGCCGGAGGCCTCTGTCCCCTGCGCAGGCTTCCGGCTCTAGGGGCGGCCTCCTTTCCGCCCACGCTCCAGTCCTTCCGGGAGCTCCGGAGCTCCGGGGCTTCCACCACATCTGCCGGCTCAGGACGGGTCGTGCTCATCCCTTAACTTTTTAACTTTTTGTTGTTTCTATTTATATTTTATTGTGCTATGTCTTGAAATGTTGTTGTAGCTATTACTTTTGATTGGATATTACTTAGTATTCCTACTTTAAATAAGAGTAGTTTGCACACCACACAGCTATAGTGTTATAATATTCTGTTTTGTTTTGTATCCTATTAGCAGTGAGGATTTTTTTTTACCTTTAGGTGATCATTTATTACTCATTAATGTCCTTTTCTTCCTGATTGAAGTACTCCCTTTAGCATTCCTTTAGGACAGGTATGGTATTCATAAAATACTTCAGCTTTTGTTTGTCTGAAAAAGTCAGTATTCTTTTTTTTTGAAGAACATTTTCACTGTATATTCTATTCTAAGGTAAAAGTTTCTTTCCTTTAGTACTTTAAATATTTATTGCTTCTCTCTCCCGGCCAGTAGAGTTTCCACTGTAAAGTCTGCTGCCAGACATGTTGGAGCTCCCCAGTAGGTTATTTGTTTCTTTTCTCTTTCTTGCTTAAGAACTTTTATCTTTGACTTTTGGAAGACTATTGAATGCTTCGAAGTAGTGTTTTTTGGGTTAAATCTGCTTAATGTTCTATAACATTTTTGTAGTTGGATATGGATGTCTTTCTCTAGGTTTGGAAAGTTCTCTGTTATTATCCCTTTGAATAAATTTTTCTACCCCTGCCTCTTTCTCTACATCTTCTTTAAAACCAATAACTCTTAGATCTGTCTTTGTGAGGCTATTTTCTAGATCCTCCCCTGCCTCTTTCTTTACATCTTCTTTAAAACAAATAACTCTTAGATCTGTCTTTGTGAGGCTATTTTCTAGATCCTGTCGGCATGATTTGTTGTTTTTATTCTTTTTCTTTTGTCTCTTCTATGTATTTTCAAAGAGCCTGTCTTCAAGCTCACTATTTCTTCTGCTTGATCCATTCTGCTATTACATGGCTCTAATGCATTCTTCAGCATGCCAATTGCATTTTTCAGCTCAGAATGTCTGCTTAATTTACTGTAACTATTTCAATCTCTTTGTTGAGTTTAGCTGATAAAATTTGGAATTTCCTTACTTTGTTATCTTAAATTTCTTTCAGTTTTTTTTTTTTAAATACAGCTATTTTGAATTCTCTGTCTGAAACATCACATATCTCTTTTTCTCCAGGATTTGTCCCCAGTGCCTTATTTAGTTCACTTGGTGAGGTCATGTTTTCCTGGATGGTGTTGATGCTAGTAGATGTTCTTCAGTGTCTGGACATTAAAATCTTGGGCATGCAGCACCATATGAGAAGTTTAAAAAATAAAATTTAAAGAGAGAAAAGGTGAGTATTTATTGTAGTCTTCACTGTCTGGGATTATTTGTAGCTATCTTTCTTGGGAAGGCTTTTCACATATTTGAAAAGAGTTGGGTGTTGTGATCTAAGCCATATCTGCTTTATGGAGCACCTTATACCCAATAATGCTGTAATTCTTCCAGACTCAGAGAAGTACCACCTTGACAGCCTTCAACAAGATCCAGGAGAATTTTCTGGATTACTAGCCACAGACTCTTTCCCTACCCTTATTTTCTCTCAAAGATACAGAGTCTTTCTCTCTGTTCTAAGCCACCTAAAGCTGGGAGAAGAAAGACACAAGCACCTCTGGCCACCACCACTATGACTGCCCTGGATCAGACCTGAAGCTAGCACAGCACAGGTCTTGCTCAAGTCCTGCTGCATGCAATTTCTGACGACTCCCTATGTTCACTCAAGGCCTTTGGTCTCTACAATTAGCAGGTGGCAAAGCCAGACAGGCCTGTGTTCTTTCCTTTAGGGCAGTGAGATCCCTCAGTCCCTGGCTGGGTCCAGAAGTGCTATTCAGAAGTCAGGGCTTTGGCCACTTTTTAATAGGGTTTTTTGTTTTTCTCTTGTAAATTTAAGTTCCTCATATTGAATATTAGATCTTTGTCAGATACATAGTTTGTAAATATTTTTTCCTCATTCTATAGGTTGTTCACTCTATTGATAATTTCTTTTGCTGAGCAGAAGCTTTTAAGTTTAATTAGATCCCACTTGTCAATAGTTGTATTTGTTGTTTTTGGTGTCTTTATCATGAAATCTTTGCCTCTTTCTATGTCCAGGATGGTATTGTCTAGGTTGTCTTCCAGAGCTTTTATAGTTTTGGGTTTTACATTTAAGTATTTAATCCACCTTGAGTTGATTTTTGTATATGGTATAAGGAAGAAGTCCAACTTCAATCTTCTGCATATGGCTAGCCAGTTATCCCAGCACCATTTATTGAATAGGGAATCTTTTCCCCATTGATTGTTTTTGCCAGCTTTGTGAAAGATTACCTAGTTGTAGGTATGTGGTCTTACTTCTAACCTCTCTATTCTGTTCCACTGGTGTATGTGTCTGTTTTTGTACTAGTACCATGCTGTTTTGGTTACTATGGTGCTGTAGGTTAGTTTGAAGTCGGGTAATGTGATGCCTCAAGCTTTGTTCTTTTTGCTTAGGATTGCCTTGGCTACTTAGGTTCTTTCTTGGTTCTATATGAATTTTTAAATAGCTTTTTTCTACTTCTGTGAAGCATGTCATTGGTAGTTTAATAGGAATAGCTTTGGACAGTACAACCATTTAAATGATATTAATTCTTTCTCTCCATTAAGATGGAATGATTTTTCATTTATTTGTGTCTTCTCTGACTTCTTTGAGCAGTGTTTTGTAATTTTCATTGTAGAGATTTTTCACCTCCCTGGTTAGCTGTATTTGTATGTACTTTATTCTTTTTGTGGAAATTGTGAATAAAATTGCCTCTCTGATTTGGCTCTTAGTTTGGCTCTTCTTGGTGTATAGGAATGCTAGCAAATTTCGTACATTGATTTTGTGTCCTGAAACTTTGTGGAAGTTGTTTATCAGCTTAAGGAGTTTTGGGTCACAACTATAGGGTTTAGATACAGAATTATGTTGTCTGCAAACAGAGGTAGTTGGACTTCTCTTTCTATTTAAATACGCTTTATTTCTTTCTCTTGTCTGATTGCTCCAGAAAGGACTTCTAATACTATGTTGAATAGGAGTGGTGAGAGAGGGCATGCTTGTCTTGTGCGGGTTTCAAGGAGGATGCTTCAAGATTTTGCCCATTTAGTATAATGTTGGCTGTGAGTTTGTCATAGGTGGCCTTTATTATTTTGAGGTATGTTCCTTTGATACCTCATTTATTGAGAATTTTTAACTTGAAGCTTTGTTGAATTTTACTGAAAGTCTTTTCTGCATCTGTTGAGACAATCACGTGGTTATTATCTTTAGTTTTATTTATGTTATGAATCACATTTTATTGATTTGCCCATGATGGACCACCCTTCTATTCCAGGGAAGAAGCTTATTTCACTATGGTGAATTAGCCTTTTGATGTGTTGCTAGATTCAGTTTGCAAGTATTTTGTTGTGGATCATTGAATGGATGTTCATCAAGGATACTGGCCTGAAGTTTTCTTTTTTTGTTTTGTCACTGCCAGGCTTTGGTATCAGGATGATTCTGGCCTCATAGAACAAGATGGGGAAGAGTCCCTCCTCCTCTATTTCTTGAAATAGTTTCAGTAGGACTGGTACTGGCTCTTCTTTGTACATCTGTTAAAATTTGTTAATCTATCAGGTCCTGGGCTTTTTGGGGGTTGGTAGGCTATTTATTACGGATTCAATTTTTGGAGCTCATAATTGGTCTGCTCAGAGACTGAATTTCTTCCTGGTTCAGTCTTGAGAGAGTATATGTGTCCAGGAATTTATTAATCTCTTCTAGGGTTTCTAGTTTGTGTGTATAGAGGTGCTCGTAGTAGTTACTGGTTGTTATTTTTTTTTCTCTGGGGTCAGTGGTAACATTCCCTTCATCATTTCTAATTTTCTTTATTTGAATCTTCTCTCATCTTCTTTATTAATCTAGCTAGTGCCCTATCTTAGTAATTTTTTCAAAAAACCTTGATTAAGTGATCTTTTGAACAGTTTTTCATGTCTCAATTTCTTTCAATTCAGCTCTGATTTTAGTTATTTCTTGTCTTCTATAAGCTTTGTGGTTGAGTTCTCCTTGCTTCTCTAATTCTTTCAGTTGTGATGTTAGGTTGTTAATTTGAGATATTTCTAATTTTTTGATATGGGCATTACTTCTTATGCCCTACTCTAAATTTTGTTCTTCTAGAAAACTCAGAACTATGCTTTCTAAACCAATTCAAACTTTCTCAGTGAATCAACCTGGACTCCCTGAGGCCAAGTTAGCAATTTTCCATTACACTTGGTTCTCTTTCTCTGTAAGAATATCTAATGCAACAATTCAAGTGTTTCTTTCCCTCCTGGTAATGCGGGGAACTCCTTTTGGCTGAGACCAAGACTTAAAACCTTGTTCTTTCAACATTAATGAAGATCTATTTAGAAAGCCTCCATTTTTGCAGAAAAGATATATAAACACCAATGAAAATCAATATGAAATTATATGACATACAATTATATTGTGGAAAGACTGAATAAATAAGTGAACTAAGCTCTAAGAAAAAAAGATGATGATATAAAATGATATAGAAGTAAAAACCTGGGCTGGTATAGCATAATTAATGTATCAGTAAAGTATGTACATTGTAGAAGTGGCAGGAAGACAGCATAGAGAGTGAGACCTGACCAAAAGCTTTAAGGAAAGTTCTATACCCTTAAACGAGATTAAAGTGGACTCAGGAAAACATGGGCCACATGAGGGGAAGGACACATGTTCCAGATGAGCCAAAGCTCAGAGCATCTCTACCTTCTCCAGGAGGAAAGGGGAGGCAAAGCAGCAGGCAGAAGACAGCACGGCCAGGTCAGCACAGGGCACCCAGGCCAAGCCAGGTGGGCTCCATCATACAGGTAGTGAGGAGTCACTGCCAGGTGGGCTTTATTCATTAGTTTGTTTTGTTTCTTTTAGTAACGAAGACACATGATCAAAGTTGACCTTTGTAAGTGTTGCTGCAGCTGAACAAAAAGATGGATAAGACCAGTGTTTTAAAAATTATGTTGTATAGAGCACTAGCCTCAGTGAGATATTAGTAGAACACACAGGCACACACACACACACACACACTCACACTAAGCCCAGATTATTCTGGCAAATGCTGGGTTAAGCAAACTAAAAGAAACATCTTTAGTGCTGGACTTCTCAGAACCTGGAATGTCGCTATATGACTCATAAAACAGCAAGGTTAAGACAGAACATGTCATTTTTTCCCAGAAATGCTGAAACACTTTCCTTCCCTTGGCTTCAGTGTCACCTTCTTTCTCCTGGTTCTCCATCAACCTCTTTGGCTGATCCTTCTTGATTTCCTTCTTGACAATCTGCTGCTGCTCAGCCATTCTCTTTTCATTCCCCATGGATTTCTCAAGTGCGTTTCTATTCCTGCATTTTAAACTTTCCTTGTTTTTCCTGACACCTCTCCTTGTCTGACTCACCCCTGTTCTAAGGCAGGTGTTCCATCTGTGTGCGCTTTTGGCACCCTGGGATGCTCCCAGCATGTTCCCTGCCACACTCCATCAGGTTTTCTCCGCAGACTCTGTGAGGGCAGCAGCCTTGTCTCCACCATTCCTTCAATGCTCAGCACATAACACAGAAGCTGACTCCATAACATTTAGTTGGCCAACTGAGACTAAATATATGTTCCTCTAGATCTTAAAAAGTTACAGAAACATAGCACAATAGACAAAATATTCTCTTTAGTCAGGAGTTCTCTATATATGTACAACAGTTTGAAGTCATTATTAAAGCAAAGTGAAAGAGAAACTGTCACAGAATTCCCCAAGATAAATTATTTTGCTTTAGTCTTCATCATGTGAGATAATCAAGACCATGTGTTATTGTAAATATTTCTAGCTTACAACACAACGACCTGATTTTTATTGTGTGAAATAACCGCAATATAAATCAGTTAATTAAAAATTGCATAAATAATCCTTTCAAATAAAATTCTGCCTAAATTTTACATTACTCATATGTTCAAATGATAATGAGCTCATAGGCTTTTCCAATACCTCAGTCAAAACACTGTACTGATTCCAGCTGTGGGAATAGTATCTGAAAGTTATTTTACAGATGGGGAACAGGTACTTACCTGACATTGGCCTTTACACTACTGTGCCCTTTTAGGTCAGGAAAAAGCTGTTCCCTTAAAATCCTAAAATCTCTTCTGTCAGGTCTGAAGGGTGGGTGGGAAACACAGTTTTACAAATTTTAGCCACAGATGTTTTATTCCTTGCTTAAAGCAGTGACTAGATAAAGGCCACTAGAAGAGTCTCCAATGTTTCTTTAGAAGCGTGTGCCTGAGAACATCTTCCAGAAACACTCCCTTGTCTCTGCCCAAAATCACCTTAGGTAGGAAAATCAAAACTCAGCAGGCTGAGGGATCCAAGGGGATCACTGAGCTCTGAGTCTTATGAGAGAAGAGAGAGAGGTCTAAGACTTTTTGTGTATAAATTTATGGGTTCCAAGTGTAATTTTGCTGTAAGCATGGATGGCATAGTGGTGAAGTCAGGGCTTTTAGGTATCCATCACCAGAATAATGCACATTGTACCCATTAAGTAATTTCTCACTGTTCACCCCTTCCATCCCCTCACCCTGCTGAGTCTCCATTATCATTCCACTCTCTACGTCAATATCTACACATCTTTTAGCACCCGCTTATGAGTGATACAATATGATGTTTACTCTGTGTCTGGCTTGCTTCACTTACAACAATGGCCTCCAGTTCCATCCATGTGTCTGCAAAAGTTATAATTCTATTGTTTTTTATGCCTGAATGGTATTTCATTGTGTATATTTTCTACATTTTCTTTCTCCAATCATTTGTTGATGGGTATTTAGTTTCATTTTATGTCTGTGCTACTGTGAATAGTGTTGCAACAAATACACAAGTACAGTTATCTTTCTGATACATTGATTTCTTTTCCTTTGCATAAATACTCAGTGGTGGGATTGCTGAATCAGACAGAGCCAATAGATGATCAGTAATGGTGGCCAATCATCAGCTAGAAAGAAAGTGCTTAGCAGGGCTTGAAAACACCAAAACTCTGAGACCACTGACCTTCAAAAACTTCAACAGCCCTGAGTGAAAAGTCCAAACACATTTATCTACCATTCGAAGACGCTTTATTGTCTGTCCTCTGCACATCTCAGTAGTCTCTTTTTACCACACTGTCTATATACTGCATGAGCCATTTATATGAAACTATCTGACACTCCAAGGCATCTTGTACTATATATTCAACTATGTATCCCTAGTACCTAGCACAGTCCTGGCATATAGTTTGCTACTAAACTTTTACAGAATGAAGGAATTATCTTGTATCCAGGTTCCAAGTTTTAAGGTGATTCTTCAGTAAAAAAAAGTATTACAGTTCACAAATAATCTACTTCCCTTTTTACAAATGGGATCAATTTTAATCTTATCTCCTAATAACATTACTTTCATTTACTCTGATCTAAATATACTGTCCTAAGAGAGCAATAAGAAAGAGAGTTGAAGCTGGAGTTTGAAGAATTGTACATGGTCCTGTGATACCCTACCTTGTTTTAACCTGAGTGACTCTCTCCTAGCGGAGAGAGAGCCGGACAGACTCCATTTTAGTTTCTTCACGTGCAGCCCCCTTTACCTTCCACCCTTAATTGCATAACTAGTGTAAACTGACTCAAAGCAGGTCCAGGAATGCACTTAGTGATAAGATATTGAGGCAAGCTGCACCAGCTGCTCCTGGGTACGCACTCGGTGAATGTCACGCAAAACCCCTGCATTTCTCTCTTTGTGATAGTTTAAGCCCCTGCACCTGGAACTGTTTATTTGTTTTGTAACTGCTATTGTAACCAATTAATATTTTAACTATTTGCCAGCTCTGCTTCTGTAAAACTTGTTTCAGCTAAACTCCCCCCTCCCCTATTTAGACCACGGTATAAAAACAAAACCAGCCCCTTCCTCGGGGCCAAGAGAATTTTGAGCATTACATGCCTCTCGGTTACCGGCTAATAAAGGACTCCTTAATTTGTCTCAAAGTGTGGCATTCCTCTATAACTCGCTTGGTTACAACAGTCCACACTGTGGCCTGAGGTGCATTGCCCACCTGAGCTTCATCTGTTATGTATGTCAGGGAATATAAGCAGGGTGAGAGTGGCCTCATCAGAGGACCCCAGATCTCTGGCTTACCCATCTGGCAAGTGCACCTCTGTGAGCAAAGACTTCAGAGCCAGGTGACAAGAATGGCCCAAGCAGTCCACCAGGAAAACCTGGGCCCAGTGTACGTCAATGCAGAGCATCAAGCATGGTGTAACAGGTGCACAGTTGCCTACTCCTGTTCAGAGATGACTGCATCCCACATACCGTAAAATGAGGAAATGCATAGAAGCAGATGTAACTGAAGAAGACAGCAGAAGCAACAAGGAGGGACAACCAGGACCTAGGAGGGCACCATGCCAGAGACGCCTGGACCCCATGCTAGGCTCAGTGCCTGTTATACTCTTGGGAGCCAGCACTTTCCCTCTCCATCACATGGCATACTTGCCATTATTTGTTGTGTAAAATATTGTCCTTAGTTTTCACCTTTCCTAGGAGACACAGGCAGAGCCTGTGACACTACAGCTTCTGGCACACAGTAGGTAGGTGCATCACAAACATCTGCTGAGTTCACACACTCTTGCCTTCTCAAAACTTCTTGTCAAGTCTTCAGTGAAAAGGAATTGCTGATTGAGCAAGAATTAAACTTCTAGAGACTCCTGGATCCACTGAAGTTTGAGACAAGGTGAGATTTGTTTACTGTCATATTCCTAGCTCATAACATATTGTAGTCACTTAAAAAAGTTTGTTGAATAAGTGAGTAAATTGATTCATACGTCATACTTAGCTATATATTTTCTGAGTAGAATTGATAAAGTTAATAGTTTAAGTCTAGTATAATTTTGCTTTACTCATTCAATGAACCTGACAATTCAAATAGGTGCCAGGCACACTGCTGCTGAAGAAAAAGAGGTATAAGATATAATTTCTGTCTACAAGAAAGCCACAGTCTAAAAAGTAGAAACATATGAACAAATCGTAACAATAAATAGGCTAAATTCAAAATCAGAGGAGTTTGTTTCTATTTTAAACAGCTCTAGTCAGGAAGTGTTAGAGAGTTCTAAACAGGAAATATTCCAACACATCATCTAAGCATGAAGCAGGAGACACCCATAATTGAGTTTGCTGCCACCAACCCCAACAGCAAGAATTCCAGTCCTGCTGCTGCAAAGTAAGTGTCACTCTGATTTTATTGCTGCTGTGTAACCCAGTTTTAGACTCTCTGGTTCTCACTTAATGTTCTAAAAAAGTATTAAAGAGAAAATTTTATTCTGGTGATGAGCCCATCCACTGCAGCCATCTCAACATCATACCAATTATAAGCCTATCATTTAAAAAGAAAGCTGTTAGTTTAACTTATTTATCCAAATATCAGTATTACATAAACATATTTGTCATCAGACTTTGGACTTATGGGTTAAATAGCATATAAATATGATTAGAGCCTTAAAGTTTACACTTCTCTGGTTCGCTCAAATTTTTTTCAAAATAGCATATGCCTTTCTAAACAATGGTTAGTATATTTTTCAAAATGAACATTAAAATGTATATTTTCCAAAAACAAAATACAGCTCCCATTGGTAAATGATGCTATTGAGACACAACAGACAACTTCTCTTGGGAACCATTTAATCAGTGCTCACTTTTGCACTCTTTCCAGAAATGTCAATGGTTTTGAAATATAGAAGTATATTATACAAATAAACTTATACTTATTCAGTATTGTGCAATATTTAGTATTTCTTCTAGCCATCTCTTGCTGAATAGTAAGCCATTCCAAAACTTACGGAATTATTTATTGTTTAATATTGTTTATTGTTATTATTTGTTTAGTAATTTTAATAACGTTATTTCTCATGGTTTTGTGGGTTGATGGGCACTACAAAAGTTCTCTTTTGGAGTCTTTCTTGCAGTTGCGGTTGGTTGGCTGCTGCTGAAGTCACCTGAAAGCTCAATTAGGCTAAAGAGTCTAAACGGGTCACTTACATGGCTGGCAGTGCATATTGGCTGCTGAGTGTGATGCCTATCTGACCTCTCCATGTTACCTGGAGTGCTCACAACGTGGTAGTTTGTCCCAAGACACACAGGCAAATACTACAAAGCTTCTTAGGGCCTAGCCTTGGAGGTCCTAGAATACGACTTCTGCTGCATCCTATTGGAAAAGCAAGTCATTGTGACCAGCACAGATTCAAGAAATGGGAGATTCGACTCTACCTGTCAATGTAAACAGCAGCATGTGCATGCAGGGAGGAAAGAAATTGAGGGCATCATCTTGAAGACTATCATATCACACCATTATTCCAACTAGTGAACATTATGTTTTAGATGGGTAGTACTAGCTACTCATCTGTCCCCCAGAAACCCAAGCTAAGCATGGACATATTGAAGAGAATGTCAACACCATTAAAAAAACTCTAGAAAAATCACATGTGATGACTGAGGTTAATTCAGTCTGTCAACTACATCAATATAATTGCCTTCTTGTAACCCTAAGTATGGTGAAGCAGAATTGAATTCTACAAAAGTCTTTCATCTGTTTTCCTATGGAATAATTAACAAACCCAATAAATGTATAAATAGCATGAAGTCCGACTTATTTTAGATTTTTACCTCATAATTTCAAAGCTTATAGAAATCCAGAGAACTAATCATCATAATCCATAATGCCTGGACCAGAAGTCCTTGTTCTAAGAGTATCTTGTGGCATGCTAAAAATGTATTACTAACTAGGAAATTTAAAACTTTTTTGTTAGTGGTTTTAAGAGAGCTGACTAGCTCATCACCACAATTCACACAGATTAAGAAAGGAGGTTACTCTGTGGAGTGGATTCATAGTGATCAGAAAAAAAAAATCACAAAAGAGGAAAGGAGATAGGGAAGGGGAAAGATACTGTCAATCTCTACAATTAAAGTGATTTTTCGAATGGTTTGATTTTGTATTTGCAAAGGAAAGGCAGCTTAATGTGATAGAATAAGAATCCCACTTCTGTATCTTTTTTTTTTTTTTTTTTTTTTTGAGACGGAGTCTCGCTCTGTCGCCCAGGCTGGAGTGCAGTGGTGCAATCTTGGCTCACTGCAAGCTCTGCCTCCCGGGTAGATGCCATTCTCCTGCCTCAGCCTCCCGAGTAGCTGGGACTACAGGCGCCCACCACCACGCCCGGCTAATTTTTTGTATTTTTTGTAGAGACAGGGTTTCACCGTGTTAGCCAGGATGGTCTCGATCTCCTGACCCTGTGATCCCCCCACCCTGGCCTCCCAAAGTGCTGGGATTACAGGCGTGAGCCACTGTGCCTGGCTCGTCTTCTTTTGAGAAGTGTCTGCTTATGTCCCTTGTCAATGTTTTAATGGGGTTGTTTTCCTAATGTCCAACATCACTAATCATCAGAGAAATGCAAGTCAATGAGAGATACCATCTCATATTAGTCAGAATGGCTACTATTAAAAAGTAAAAAAATGACAAATTCTGGTTAGACTTCAGAGAAAATGAAATGCTTATACACTGTTGGTGAGAATGTAAATTAGTTCAGCCACTGTGAAAAGCAGTTTGGAGATTTTTCAAAGAATTTAAAACAGAAGTGCCATTCAACCAGCAATTCCATTACTGAGTATATATCCAAAAGAAAATTAAGAATTCCACAAAAAAGAAACCCCACATGCACTTGTATATGAGTCATATTCTATTCACAATAGGGAAGGCATGGAATTAACTTATGTGTGAATCAATAAATTGGATAGAAATATGTGCCACATATACGCCATAAAACACTATGCACACATTAAAAAGAATACAATTATGTCCTGTGCAGTAACATGCATACGTCTGGAGGCCATTATCATAAGGAAATTAATACAGGAACAGAAAACCAAATACCATATGTTCTTGCCTATAAGTAGGATCTAAACATGGGGTACTCATGAATATAAAGATGACAACAATAGACACTGAGAACTACCAGGTGAATGAGGGAAGGAGGAGGGCAGAGGGTGAAAAACCATAGGTGCTATGCTTACTGCCTAGGTGATGGGATCAATTATATCCCACAATATATGCTCACTACCTTGGTGATGGGATCAATAATATCCCACATTGCTCAGCATCACACAATATATCCATGTAATAAACCTGCAAATATACTCCCTGAATCTAAAAAATTTAAGGCAGAGACAGAGTAAGAGGGCAGAATAGAAGCCTACATTCTCATCCACCACACGAAAACACCAAATTTTCACAACTAACTACATTCAAGAAGCACTGTCAAAGGGACCAAAAATTGGGTGAGCAATCACAGTACCTGGTATTAACTTCATATCACTGAAACAGACATTGGAGAAGACAAAAAAATAAAAGACGGTTTAGAAGCATGGATGCCACCTCTTTTTCAACCACCACTAGTGGCTACATCGTGCAGAGATAGTATGTTTGGGAGAGGGAGCGCATAGTTTGTGAGGCTTTGCAATAAACTCAGTACTACCCTGTCACAGTGAAAAGCAGAACCAGACTGTACTCAGCTGACATCTGCCAATGGAAGGAGCATGTGTATTGGCCCTAGAAAGAGGAAAACCTCCCATCCTAGTGTTGGGAGCTTGAGTTTTTACAAGTCTTGCCATCATGAGTTGACGTGCTATTGGACTCTAAGAGAACTTAAGGGGCAGTCTAGGCCACAAGGACTTCAATTATTAGGCAAGTCTTATTCCAAGCTGGGCTCAGAGCCAGTGGAATGTGGAGGGTGGGGAGTATGGGGTCTACCAAGACAGCAGCCAGAGCAACTAAGGGAGTGCTCACAACACCACTCCCCCACCCCCCACCTAGCAGCAGCCACACAACACACAGAAACCTGTGAATTTGGGAGAGGGAGAGCACAGTGACTGGAGGACTTTACATCAAACTCAGTGCTGCTATGTCAGTAAAGACCTGGCAGAATTCATCACCTGCTGACTAAAGAACCCCTGTACCCAGAATAAAAAACAGTGACAACCAGGTAATACACCATGGGCATTGGGATCTGAGAAGTGCTAAGTTCAGGTGTGACCCAGTACATTTCTAGCTGTGGTAGCTATGGTGAAAGACTTCTGTTTGAGAAAGGCAGGGGGGAAAGTAAAGGGAACTCTACATTGCACCTGGTATACCAGCTCAACCACAGTGGGGTAGATCACCAAGCAGATTCTTAGAGTCCTTGAGTCCAGGCCTAGGGTCTTCTTGGTCAGCATTTCTGCACTTGCCCTGGGCCAAAGGTCGAGTCCCAGGCATTGCAGAATTTATCACAAGCTAACTAAAGAGTCCTTGGGCTTTAAGTGAGAAAGTGATGATGATTTGGTGGAAACCCCCCATGGGCCAGTAGTGTGGGCAGTCATAGAAGAAGCTCTTCTGCCTGCAGAGAGGGGAAAGAAGAGTAGAAAATACTTTGTCTTATTCCCTAAGTGCCAGGTTAGCTACAATAAAATAGAAGAGCAGCTAAATTTTGAAGATTCTATGCTTTAATCTCTGGCTCCCAGGTAGCATCTGTGGACCCACTCATGGCTAGGGGAACTTTCAACCCTATAGGCAGAGACACAAACCTGGCTGGCATTGCCAACTATTAATCACAGAGTCCTGGGGCTTTGAATAAACTTATATGGTAGCCAAGTAGTGGTTGCAGTGGGCCTTGGGTGAGACCAAGTTCTGTGCCTACTTCAGGTGTGAGCCAGCACAGTCTCAGTGGTGGCTGCCACAGGAGTTCTTCTGTTACCCCAACCCCAGCTCCACATGTCTCAGCACAGAAAGAGAGACTGCTGATTTGAGAGAAAGTAAGGGAAGAGAACAAGAGTCTCTACTTGATAAATCAAGAGAATTTTTCTTGATGTTAATCCAAGGCCACCAAGGCACTACCTCTACGTGTTTGCATAAACTACTGTGCTATTGGGTTTGGGACCCAAGTTTCTTTGAATACCTGGAAAGTGTTCCCAAAGATAATGGGCACTAGCAAGCCCAGACTGTGAAGACTACAATAAAGATTGAATTCTTCAATGCCCAGATACAGATGAATATCTACAAGTATCAAGGCCATCCAGGAAAACATGACCTCACCAAACAAGCTAAATAAAGTACCAGGGACAAATCCTGGAAAAACAAAGATATGTGACCTTTCATACAGGAAATCCAAAATAACTGGTTGAGGTAATTCAAAGAAATGTACAATGTAACACAGAGAAGGAATTCAAAATTCTATCAGATAAATTTAACAATGAGATTGAAATAAAAAGAATAAAGTAGAAATTCTGAGGTTAAAATGCTATTGTCATACTGAAGAATGGATCAGAATTACTTAAAAGAATTGACCATGGAGAAGATAGATTTAGTGAACTTGAAGCCAGACTATTTAAAAATACAAAGTCAGAGGAGACAAAAAGGAATAAAAAATAAAGCATGCCTATAGAATTTTAAAAATAGCCTCAAAATAGCAAATCTAAGAGTTATTGGCCTTAAAGAGGAGGTAGAAAAAGAGATGAGTTGAATATTTATTTAAATAAATAATATTAAATAATATTAAACAATTCCTCAACATTTGATATCAACATTCGGGTAACAGAAAGTTACAGAATATAAAGCAGATTTAACCCAAAGAAGACCACCTCAAGGCACTAAACTGAACTCCCAAAGGTTAAGGATAAAGAAATGATTCTAAAAGCATCGAGAGAAGAGAAACAAATAACATTCAGCGGAACTCCAATACATCTGACAGCAGACTTTTCAGGGGAAAATTTACAGGCTGTGAGATTGGCATGACATATTAAAAAACTGAAGGAAAAAAAGACTTTTACTTTAGAATAATGTATCTGGCAAAAACGTCCTTTAAACTTGACGGAAAAATAAGAACTTTTTCCAACAAACAAAAACTGAGGGATTTCATTAACACCAGACCTGTCCTACAAGAAATGCTTAAGGGATATCTTAATCTAAAAGAAAACAAGTTAGTGAGCAATAAGAAATCATCTGAAGGTACACAACTCACTAGCAATAGCACATGGAAAAACACTGAATATTATAATATGGTAATTATGGGGTGCAAAAATCTCAAATAGAAAGAGTAAACAATAAACCAATAAAAATAATAACTACAATGTATTTATTTCCAATACATAGACTGTAAAATAGGGAATGAAGAGAAACAACAAAAAGTTGAAAAGAATGGCAGTATAGAGTTTTTATTAGTTGTTTTGCTTGTTTCTTTTTTTTATTATACTTTTAAGTTATAGAGTACATGTGCACAACGTGCAGGTTTGTTACATATGTATACACGTGACATGTTGGTGTGCTGCACCCATTAACTAGTCATTTAGCATCAGGTATATCTCCTAATGCTATCCCTCCCCCATCCCCCCACCCCTCAACCGTCCCTGGTGTGTGATGTTCCCCTTCCTGTGTCCACGTGTTCTCATTGTTCAATTCCCACCTATAAGTGAGAACATGCGGGTGTTTGGTTTTTTGTCTTTGTGATAGTTTGCTGAGAATGATGGTTTCCAGCTTCCTGCATGTCCCTGCAAAGGACATGAACTCATCATTTTTTATGGCTGCATAGTATTCCATGGTGTATATGTGCCACATTTTCTTAATCCAGTCTATCATTGTTGGACATTTGTGTTGGTTCCCAGTCTTTGCTATTGTGAATAGTGCTGCAATAAACATACGTGTGCATGTGTCTTTATAGCAGCATGATTTATAGTCCTTTGGGTATATACCCAGTAATGGGATGGCTGGGTCAAACGGTATTTCTAGTTCTAGATCCCTGAGGAATTGCCACACTGACTTCCACAATGGTTGAACTAGTTTACAGTCCTACCAACAGTGTAAAAGTGTTCCTATTTCTCTACATCCTCTCCAGCACATGTTGTTTCCTGACTTTTTAGTGATCGTCATTCTAACTGGTATGAGATGGTATCTCATTGTGGCTTTGATTTGCATTTCTCTGATGGCCAGTGATGATGAACATTTTTTCATGTGTCTTTTGGCTGCATAAATGTCTTCTTTTGAGCAGTGTCTGTTCATATCCTTCACCCAGTTTTTGATGGGGTTGTTTGGGTTTTTCTTGTAAATTTGTTTGGGTTCATTGCAGACTCTGGATATTAGCCCTTTGTCAGATGAGTAGATTGGAAAATTTTTCCCCCATTCTGTAGGTTGCCTATTCACTCTGATGGTAGTTTCTTTTGCTGTGCAGAAGCTCTTTAGTTTAATTAGATCCCATTTGTCAATTTTGGCTTTTGTTGCCATTGCTTTTGGTGTTTTAGACACGAAGTCCTTGCCGATGCCTATGTCCTGAATGGTATTGCCTAGGTTTTCTTCTAGGGTTTTTATGGTTTTAGATCTAACATTTAAGTCTTTAATCCATCTTGAATTAATTTGTGTATAAGGTGTAAGGAAGCGATCCAGTTTCAGCTTTCTACATATGGCTAGCCAGTTTTCCCAGCATCATTTATTATGTAGGGAATCCTTTCCCCATTTTTTGTTTTTGTCAGGTTTGTCAAAGATCAGATAGTTGTAGATATGCAGCATTATTTCTGAGGGCTCTGTTCTGTTCCATTGGTCTACATCTCTGTTTTGGTACCAGTACCATGCTGTTTTGGTTACTGTAGCCTTGTAGTATAGTTTGAAGTCAGGTAGCATGATGCCTCCAGCTTTGTTCTTTTGGCTTACGATCGACTTGGCAATGTGGGCCCTTTTTTGTTCCATATGAACTTTAAAGTAGTTTTTTTCCAATTCTGTGAAGAAAGTCATTGGTAGCTTGATGGGGATGACATTGAATCTATCAATTACCTTGGGCAGTATGGCCATTTTCATGATATTGATTCTTCCTACCCATGAGCATGGAATGTTCTTCCATTTGTTTGTATCCTCTTTTATTTCATTGAGCAGTGATTTGTAGTTCTCCTTGAAGAGGTCCTTCACATCCCTTGTAAGTTGGATTCCTAGGTATTTTATTCTCTCTGAAGCAATTGTGAATGGGAATTCACTCATGATTTGGCTGTGTGCCTGTTGTTGGTGTACAAGAATGCTTGTGATTTTTGTACATTGATTTTGTATCCTGAGACATTGCTGAAGTTGCTTATCAGCTTAAGGAGATTTTGGGCTGAGACGATGGGGTTTTCTAGATATACAATCATGTCATCTGCAAATAGGGACAATTTGACTTCTTCTTTCCCTAACTGAATACCCTTTATTATGACCACTATGAAGGAGTTTATGACCGCTAGGTTTGTTCTTCAAGAAATGCTAGAAAGTCCTTTGAGATTAAAAAATGAGAGTACCAAAAAAGCCATAGAATACTATAAAGCTCTGTTGTAAAGCAAATATATAGAGAAATATAGCATCCTGTATTATTGTGATGTTGGTAAGTAATTTCAATCCCCTTATAGTATTTGACACCAATATACAAAAATATTTTATATGTATGTTAAAGAATACATCATGTAAAAAGGCCTAATTTGTGACATCAAGAACAACATGAGTGTTGGGAAAGACAGTCATGTAAAAGACTGGAGTTTTTATATGCTACTGAGATAACATCAGATTAAACTAGATTGTTATAACTTTGAGACGTTTCATGTCACCTGTATAGTAATCACAAAGATAATACATGTAGAATGTATACAAAAGAAAAAGAAATAAAAACATATTAGTACAAAAATTAGACAAAAAGGAATACAGCAAGAAATAAAATAAATAAACAAAAGAACTACAAAAGAAACACAATACTATTAACAAAATGGCAGTAGTAACTCCTTAACTGCAAATAATAACCTTATATGTAACAATGTTAAATTCTCCAATAACAGACAGAAGGTCACTGAAGAAATAAAAATATAAAATCGAATGAATTCTGTTTATAAATTGTTTATAAAAATAAAAATATAAAATCAAATAAATTATGTTTATTTAAGGATAAACATGGAATGAAAGTGCAGGGATGGAAAATTATATTCTATATGGTAACCAAATCATCCTAAATAGCAACCAAAATAGAACAAAGTGGGTCACATTTACATTAGATGATTAGACTTTAAGCAAAAAACTGTCATAAAGACAAACAAGGACATTATATAATAAAAATAAATCTCCAAGAAGATACCATAATTAAAATATGCACATGAATCAGCAACTATTCCAAACACATAACACAAATAATGACAGAATTAAAAGGAGAAATAGGCTGAGTACAGTGGCTCACGCCTGCTTGTAATCCCTGCATCTTGGCGGGGGCAGAGGCAGGAGGATGGCTTGAGCCCAGGATTTGAGACTAACCTGGGCAAGATAGCAACACTTCGTCTGCGTAAGAAACAAAATTATAAATAAAAATAAAGGGAGGAATAGAGACCACCACCAAAATGATAGGAGACTTTAATAATGGAGAGGACAACCTGGGAGACCAAATGAAGACAGAGGATTGAGCAAGGAGTGATTCCACCAAATCCAACAGACTTTTAGAAACGGTCTTCTCAACAACAGAATGCGCATGATTCTGGTGTGCACATGGAACATTCTTGAGACTATATCACAAATCGGACCACAAAGAAATCAATTCAAGAAAATTAAAATCATACGAAGTATCATTTACAACTAAAATGGAATGGAACTAGAAGTGAATACCAGAAGAAAAATTTAAAAATTTGCAAATACATAAAAATCAAGTAACATGCTCCTAAACAACATTATGGGTTAAAGAAGAAATCACAGTGAAAATTTCAACATAACTGGAGACAAAGCATAACAAAATTATTGAATGCATCTAAAGCTTGTATTCAATTGTAGTAGTAAATGTGTACATTTAAAAAATCTATCTAAATCAACTAGTAAATGTAATCAAACATCAGTAAAGAATAAGAATTTCAGCAGTTATAAATAAATAACAATTAAAAGCCATAGAAAAATCAATTAAAGTTTGGTTTTATTGAAAAGATTAAGAAAACCGACAAACAGATTAAAAGAAAAAAGAAGATACCTCAAATAATTAAATTCATAAATAAAAGAGGAGCTATTACTACTGATGCCACAAAAGTAGGAAAAGAAGAGATTATAAAAGTTTAATTCCAAGTATATGCCAAAAAATATGATAAGCTAAGAGAAATAGACAAATGTCTAGAAATACAGATTATACTAAAAATAAACCATAAAAAAATCTGAATAGGCATATAAGTAGTAACAACAACCTCCCCTCAAAAAGCCCAGGCCCGGATCACTTCATTAAATACATATTTTTTTCAAAATGTTAAAGCAGGGTTAACACCAACCCTTCTTAAACTACTTCAGAAAAATGAAAAAGATAAAACAATTTCCAACTTATTTTATGAGCCCAGCATTAACACAACACCAAACCCCACAAAGACACTAAGGAGAAAAAAAAATACAACTACAAATCAATTTTCCTGTTGACTATTGATGTAAAAATTCTCCTCGGAACATTAGAACACCAAATTCAATAACATATTGCAAGGATTATACACCATGACGAAGAAGGAGTTATCTCTCCAATGAAAGTATTGTTCAACACGTGTAAATCAATCTATTTGTTTTTTATTTTTTTATTATACTTTAAGTTCTAGGGTACATGTGGACAACATGCAGGTTTGTTACATAGGTTTACATGTGCCATGTTGTTTTGCTGCACCTATCAACTCATCATTTACATTAGATATTTCTCCTACTGCTATCTCTCCTCTAGCCCTCCAGCCCCTGACAGGCCCCATTGTGTGATGTTACCTGCCTTGTGTCCAAGTGTTCTCATTGGTAAATTCCCACCTATGAGTGAGAACATGTGGTGTTTGGTTATCTGTCCTTGTGATAGTTTGCTGAAAATGATGGTTTCTGGCTTCATCCAAGTCCCCGCAAAGGACAAAAACTCATCTGTTTTTATGGCTGTGTACTATTCCATGGTGTATATGTGCTGCATTTTCTTAATCAGTTCTATCATTGATGGACATTTGGGTTGGTTCCAAGTCTTTGCTATTGTGAATAGTGCTGCAATAAACATACATGTGCTTGTGTCTTTATAGTGGCATGATTTATAATCCTTTGGGTATATGCCCAGTAATGGGATTGCTGGGTCAGATGGTATTTCTAGTTCTAGATCCTGGAGGAATGGCCACACTGTCTTCCACAGTGGTGGAACTAATTTGCAATCCCTCCAACAGTGTAAAAGCCTTCCTATTTTTCCACATGCTTTCCAGCATCTGTTGTTTCCTGACTTTCAAATAATCACCATTCTAACTGGCGTGAGATTGTATCTCACTGTGGTTTTGATTTGCATTTCTCTGATGACCATTGATGATGAGCATTTTCTCATGTGTCTGTTGGCTGCATAGATGTCTTCTTTTGAGAAGTGTCTGTCCATATCCTTTGCCCAATTTTTGATGGTGTTTTTTTCTTGTAAATTTGTTTAAGTTTTTTGTAGATTCTGGATACTAGCCCTTTGTCAGATGGATAGATTGCCAACAATTTTCTCCCATTCTGTAGGTTGTCTGTTCATGCTGTTGGTAGTTTCTCTTACTGTGCAGAAGCGCTTTAGTTTAATTAGATCTGATTTGTCTATTCTGGCTTTTGTTGCCATTGTTTTTGGTATTTTAGTCATGAAATCTTTGCCCATGCCTATGACCTGAATGATGTAGCCTAGGATTTCTTCTAGGGTTTTTATGGTTTTAGGCCTAACATTTAAGCCTTTAATCCCTGTTGAATTAATTTGTGTATAAGGTGTAAGGAAGGGATCCAGTTTCAGCTTTCTACCTATGACTAGCTAGTTTTCCCAGCACCATTTATTAAATAGGGAATCCTTTCTCCATTGCTTGTTTTTGTCAGGTTTTTCAAAGATCAGATGGTTGTAGATGTGTGGTGTTATTTCTGAGGCCTCTGTTCTGTTCCATTGGTCTATAGATCTGTTTTGATATCGGTACCATGCTGTTTGGTTACTGTAGCCTTGTAGTATAGATTGAAGTCAAATAGTGTGATGCCTCCAGCTTTGTTCTTTTTGCTTAGATTGTCTTGGCGATATGGGCTCTTTTTTGGTTCCATATGAACTTTAAAGTAGTATTTTCTAATTCTGTGAAGAAAGTCATTCGTAGCTTGATGGGGATGGCATTGTATCTGTAAATTACCTAGGGCAGTATGACCATTTTCACAATATTGGTTATTCCTATCCATGAGCATGGAATGTTCTTCCATTTGTTTGTGTCCTCTTTTATTTTGTTGAGCAGTGATTTGTAGTTTTCCTTGAAGAGGTCGTTCACATCCCTTGTAAGATGTATTCCAAGGTATTTTATTCTCTTTGTAGCAATTGTCAATGGGAGCTCACTCATGATTTGGCTCTCTGTTTGTCTGTTATTGGTGTATAGAAATTCTTGTGATTTTTGCATATTGATTTCTTATCCTGAGACTTTGCTAAAGTTCTTATCAGCTTAAGGAGATTTTGGGCTGAGACGATGGGGTTTTCTAAATATACAATCATGTCATCTGCAAACAGAGATAATTTGACTTCCTAATTGAATACCTTTGTTTCTTTCTCTTGCCTGATTGCCCTGGCTGTGGGTTTGTCATAAATAGCTGTTATTATTTTGAGATACATTTCATCAATATGTAGTTTATTGAGAGTTTTTAGCAGGAAAGACTGTTGAATTTTGTCAAAGGCCTTTTCTATATCTATGGAGACAGTCATGTGGTTTTTGTCATTGATTCTGTTTATATGATGGATTACATTTATTAATTTGTGTATGTTGTACCAGCCTTGCATTCCAGGGATGAAGACTACTTGATCGTGGTGGATAAGCTTTTTGATATGCTGCTGGATTCCATTTGCCAGTATTTTATTGAGGATTTTCACATCGATGTTCATCAAGGATATTGGTCTAAAATTCTCTTTTTTTTTGTTTTGTCTCTGCCAGGGTTTGGTATCAGGATGATACTGGTCCCATAAAATGAATTAGGGAGGATTTCCTCTTTTTCTATTGATTGGAATAGTTTCAGAAGGAATGGTACCAGCTCCTTTTTGTACCTCTGGTAGGATTCAGCTGTGAATCCATCTGGTCCTGGATATTTTTTTGTTGGTATGCTATTAATTATTGCCTCAATTTTCAGATCCTGTTATTGGTCTATTCAGAGATTCAACTTCTTCCTGGTTTAATCTTGGGAGGGTGTATGTGTCCAGGAATTTATCCATTTCTTCTAGATTTTCTAGTTTATTTGTGTAGAGGAGTTTATAGTATTCTCTGATGGTAGTTTGTATTTCTGTGGGATCAGTGATGATATACCATTTATCTTTTTTTATTGTGTCTATTTGATTCTTGTCTTTTTTCTTCTTTATTAGTCTTGCTAGTGGTCTATCAATTTTGTTGATCTTTCAAAAAATCAGCTCCTAAATTCATTGATTTTTTAAGGGTTTGTTGTGTCTCTATCTCCTTTAGTTCTGCTCTGATCTTTCTTGCCTTTTGCTTGTTTTTGAATTTGTTTGCTCCTGTTTCTCTAGTTCTTTTAATTGTGATGTGGGGCTGTCAATTTTAGATCTTTCCTGCTTTCTCTTGTGGGCATTTAGTGCTATAAATTTCCCTCTGCACACTGCTTTAGATGTGTCCCAGAGATTCTGGTGTTTTTTGTCTTTGTTCTCACTGGTTTCAAAGAACATCTTTATTTTTGCCTTCATTTCGTTATTTGCCCAGTAGCCATTCAGAAGCAGGTTGTTCTGTTTCCATGTGTTTGGGCCATTTTGAGTGAGTTTCTTAATTCTAAGTTCTAATTTGATTGCACTGTGATCTGAGAGACAGTTTGTTGTGATGTCTGTTCTTTTACATTTGATGAGGAGTGCTTACTTCCAATTATGTGATCAATTTTAGAATAACTGCGATGTGGTGCTGAGAAGAATGTTTATTCTGGTGATACGGGGTGGAGAATTCTGTAAATTTCTATTAGGTCCACTTGGTGCAGAGCTGAGTTCAAGTTCTGGATATCCTTGTTAACCTTCTGTCTTGTTGATCTGTCTAATATTGACAGTGGAGTGTTAAAGTCTCCCATTATTATTGTGTGGGAGTCTAAGTCTGTTTGTAGGTATCTAAGGACTTACTTTACGAATCTGGGTGCTCCTGTATTGAGTGCATATATATTTAGGGTAGTTAGCGCTTCTTGCTGAATTGATCCTTTTACCATTATGTAATGGCCTTCTTTGTGTCTTTTGATCTTTGTTGGTTTAAATTCTGTTTTATCAGAGACTAGGATTGCAACCCCTGCTTTTTTTTAATTTTTAATTTTTTTGCTTTCCATTTTCTTGGTAGATCTTCCTCCATCCCTTTATTTTGAGCCTATGTGTGTCTCTGCATGTGAGATGGGTCTCCTGAATACAGCACACTGATGGGTCTTGACTCTTTATCCAATTTGACAGTCTATGTCTTTTTATTGAGTCATTTAGCCCATTTACATTTAAGGTCAATACTGTTATGTGTGAATTTGATCCTGTCATTGTTATGTTAGCTCACTGTTTTTCCTGTTAATTGATGCAGCTTCTTCATAGTATCGATGGTCTTTACAATTTGGCATATTTTTTGCAGTGGCTGGTACTGGTAGTTCCTTTCCACGCTTAGTGCTTCCTTCAGGAGCTCTTTTAAGGCAGGCCAGGAGGTCTCAAAATCTCTCAGCATTTGCTTGTCTGTAAAGGATTTTACTTCTCCCTCACTTATGAAGCTTAGTTTAGCTGGATATGAAATTCTGGGCTGAAAATTCTTATCTTTAAGAATGTTGAATATTGACCCCCACTCTCTTCTGGCTTCTAGGGTTTCTGCTGAGAGATCTGCTATTAGTCTGATGGGTTTCCCCTTGTGGGTAACCCGACCTTTCTCTCTGGCTGCCCTTAACATTTTTTCCTTCATTTCAACCCTGGTGAATCTGACAATTAGTATCTTGGGGTTGCTCTTATCCAGAAGTAACTTTGTGGTGTTGTCTGTATTTCCTGAATTTGAATGCTGGCCTGCCTTGCTACATTGGGAAAATTCTCCTGAATAACATCCTAAGGAGTGTTTTCCAACTTGGTTCCATTCTCTCTGTCACATTTAGGTACACCAAGCAAACATAGATTTGGTCTTTTCACATAGTCCCATTTTTCCTGGAGGCTTTGTTCATTTCTTTTCACTCTTTTTACTCTAAACTTGTCTTCTCACTTTATTTTATTAATTTGATCTTCGATCACTGATATCCTTTCTTCCACTGGATTGAATCAGCTATTGAAGCTTGTGCATGTGTCACAGAGTTCTTGTGCCATGGTTATCAGCTCCATAAGGTCATTTAAGGTATTCTCTACACTGTTTATTCTAGTTAGCCATTGTCTGACCTTTTTTCAAGGTTTTTAGCTTCCTTGCGATGTGTTCAAACATGCTCTTTTAGCTTGGAGAAGTTTGTTATTACCAGCCTTCTGAAGCCTCCTTCTGTCAACTCATCAAAGTCACTCTCCCTCCAGCTTTGTTCCATTGCTGGTGAGGAGCTGCAATCCTTTGGAAGAAAAGAGATGCTCTGGTTTGTAGGATTTTCAGCTTTTCTGTTCTGGTTTCTTCCCATCTTTGTGGTTTTATCTATCTTTGGTATTTGATGTTGGTAACCTACAGATGGGGTTTTGGTGTGGATGTCCTTTTTGTTTATGTTGATGCTATTCCTTTCTGTTTGTTAGTTTTCCTTCTAACAGTCAGGTCCCTCAGCTGCAGGTCTGTTGGAGTTTGCTGGAGGTCCACTCCAGACCCTGTTTGCCTGGGTATCAACAGAGAAGGCTGCAGAACAGCAAATATTGCTGCTTGATCCTTCCCTGGAAGCTTCGTTGAAGAGGGTCTCCTACCTGTATGAGGTGTCTGTTGGCCCGTACTATGAGATGTCTCCCAGTTAGGCTACACGGGGTTCAGGGACCCATTTGAGGAGGCAGTATGTCCATTCTCAGAGCACAAACACCATGCCAGGAGAACCACTGCTCTCTTCAGAGCTGTCAGATGGGAGGTTTAAGTCTGCAGAAGTTTCTGCTGCCTTTTATTCAGCTGTGCCCTGCCCGCAGAGGTGGAGTTTATAAAGGCAGTAGGCCTTGCTGAGCTGTGAGTGGCTCTACCCTGTTCAAGCTTCCTGGCCACTTTGTTTACCTACTGAAACCTCAAAAATTGTGGATTCACCTCCACCTGCTCAGCTGCAGCATGAAGGTTAATCTCAGACTGCTGCACTGGCAGTAAGCAAGGCCCTATGGGTGTGGGACCCAATGAATCAGGCACAGGAGAGAATCTCCTGGTCTGCCAGTTGCTAAGACTGTGCAAAAAGTGCAGTATTTGGGCAAGAGTGTCCTGTTTTTCCAGGTACAGTCTGTCATGCCTTCCCTTGGCTAGGAAAGGAAAATCCCCAAACCCCTTGCACTTCCTGGGTGAGTTGATGCCCTGCCCTGCTTCAGCTCACCCTCCATGGGATGAACTCACTGTCCAATCAGTCCCAATGAGATGAATCAGGTAGCTCAGTTGGAAACGCAGAAATCACCCATCTTGCATTGATCACACTGGGAGCTGCAGACCAGAGCTCTTCCTATTTGGCTATATTGGAATGAGAGTTTAAATCAATCAGTTTAATATATCACATTAACAGAGAAAAAGATGTAAACCACACAATCATCTCAAATAATGCAGAAAAGTCAACTGACAGTATTAATCATCTTTTCAAGATAAAAAAACACTCAATAAAGTAGAAATAAAAGGAAACTAACATAGCAAAAGATATGTAAATAACTCATCACCAACTGTGTTCAACAGCTCATGCCTATAGTCCCAGCAGTTTGGGTGGCTGAGGTGGGTGGATGATTTTAGGTCAGGAGTTCCAGACCAGCCTGACCAACATGGTGAATCCCTGTCTCTACAAAAAATATTAACATTAGCTTGACTTTGTGGTATGTGCCTGTAGTCCCAGCTACCAGGGAGGCTGAGGCATGAGAATAGCTTGAACTCGGGAGGTGGAGGTTGCAGTGAGCCCAGATCATGCCACTGCACTCCAGCCTGGTTGACAGAGCAAGATCCTATCTCAGAAAAACAAAAACAACAACAAAAACAAAAAAACAAAAACAATCATCACTAATATTACACTGAATTCTGAAGTGTGGAAAGTTTATCCTCTAAGGTTAAGAATAAGGCAAGATATTCACTGTTGTCACATCTATTCAAAAATATCAGTGAAAGTCCTGGCAAAACAACTAGGCAATGAAAAAAAGAAAAGATCCACATTCTAAAGGAAGAAGTAAAATTACCTGTTACTTATGATATGATGTTATATACAAAAAATCCTATATGCTGAAAACAATACCTGTTAGAACTAATAGTTGCATTTAGCAAAATTGCAGAATACAAAATTAAGTGTATTTCTCTTCATTACATGGTACAATCCAAGTTTTTAAAATTCCATTGAAAATAGCATTAAGAAGAATATACTTTGGAATAAACAAGCAAAGAGATGTAAGACTAGTATACTAGAAGTTACAAGATGTTGCTGAAGAAAAGTCACAAACAATGGGGAAGATATTCTATATTTGTAGATTAGACAATTGAAAAGATATCCCATATTCATAAATTAGAAAACAATATTCTTAAGTCTATACTAATGAAATCAACAACAGATTAAATGCAATAGCTATATAAATCATAACAATATTTACTTGCAGAAATACAAAATTCTAAAACATATGAAATCTCAAGATTGAAAATAGCCAATTAAACTTGTAAAATAATGTCAATTGTGGAACCCTCACAATTTTTAAATCAAAAACTAATTGCAGTGCTGTTGAACTCTTTTCAAATGTGGTATTTTGAGGCCAGGTTCTATGGCTTACACGTGTAACCTCAGCACTTTGTGAGGCTGAGGTAGGAGGATTGCTTGAACCCAGGAGTTCAAACCACACTGGACATCCTAGTGAGAACACCCATCGCTAAAAAAACAATTAAAATTAAAATTAACCTGGCAATGTGACATGAACCTGTAGTCTCAGCTATTCCAGAGGCTGAAGTGAGAGGATTTTTTAAGCCTGGGAGAGCAAGTCTGCAGTGAGCCATGGTCGCACCAGTGCACCCCAGCCTGGATGACAGAGAACCTGTCTCAAAAAGTAAAAAGGAGAAAATCTAAAAAGAAATGTATTAAATCAAGACGTGTAGACATAGAAAATAATAGAGACCCCTCTCTCCACAAAACCTTGTATATATGGTCAAAATGATCTTCAACAAGGGTGCAAAGGCCAAACTATGGAGAGGGAATAATAGCCCCCTTTAACACAAAAAAGGTATGAAGATTTGCTATCAACATGTAAAATATAGAAGTCAGAATTGTAGTTTATACTATATTTTTTTAAAAACTCAAAATGTGTAAGTCTGAAAGTCTTACACAAAAATATAAGGGAAAAATATCCAAAATTATGCCATGGAATTTGGCAATGGGTTCTTGACTGCCAGCAGCCCCACATCCCTGGAGCATCCATCCGCTCACCGCTGCCTGGTGCTGGGTCCTTCCACACCTGTCACACTGCTTTGTGCGGGGCTCTGAGGGGCACGAGCCAGGACACCAGGCCGAGCACAGGGCACAGGCCGGGCGTTCTCCGGCTATTCGAGGGCAGGCTGTCCCCATGACAGCCTCAGGCGCAGGAGGGAGGACGGCCTGATTCGAGTCTGTGGAAGGAGGAAGAAGCTCATTTCCTGAGCCAGCAGGGACACAGAGGTGGATGCGGGACACAGGGACACAGGGGTGGATGCCATAAAAATATATGGCATATATTTTGAAACATGGCCGCAATTTGAATAATTAGAGTGTTATGCTGAAACTGCACCAAAATTTATCATTCCAGTGACTACATGGAATTTTTAATAGTTGTTATTTTTATAATAAAATTAAACTTTAATTAAATAACTGACTTTCAAACTTCAGCAAGAGGACAAATATTCAGCCAGAGTTATCAGTTCCCGGTTTCTGCTTCGGGTCCTCTCTGGTCTCCCACAGCCCCTCCTGCATCACCCAGGTCTAAGGGGCCACCTGGCCTGGCCTGTGTTCCCTCGTCCCTCCCCTTCCCCACCCAGATCCTGCAGCGCCTTCCTGGGGCAGGGGCGGCGAACCGTCCAGAGCGGGAGGCTCCATCGCCCAGGGCAGCACCGCTCCGCCCCTCTCCACACCTGCCCAGCCCCTGGCAAGGGAGTCGCCTGGGCCTGGCCCGCTGCCCGCCCCCCAATACCTGCCCTGTGCCTGCAACGGCGACGCTGCCAACAAGAGGTGCCAGAGACCGCGGCGCAACCCGCCCGGAGAGCAGGGTCCCACTCACCTGGGAGCGGGGGCACGTCCCTTCCGGTAGGCGATGAGTTAAGATTGTTTCCTTTTATTTATTTTACTTAAAACTGGTAGAATGTCACTATTATATGAAGTACCCATGACTCTCTCAGTAAATTTGAGCAAACGTTTATTAGTTTTTGTCAGTTTAACTAGTTCTTTTGTGTCTATTATTAAGGTGAAATTTAACTTCTATCTGAAATCAGTAAGATACAGAGAGATTTTAATGACAAGTGAATATTTTTTCCTCAGGGGGAACTGAATTATGAATTGAATGAATGAATTATGAATTAAATGAATGAATTCATTAGCAAGGTAGAGAGGACACTAACCAATCGGTAGTTTTAATCAATCTGTATTCCCTCCCCCCTCCCTCTTTGTTTTTTGTTTGTTTGTTTGTTTTTGAGACAGAGTTTTGCTCCGTCGCCCAGGCTGGAGTGATGTGGCGCGATCTTGGCTCACTACAACCTCCGCCCCCCGGGTTCAAGCGACTCTCCGCCTCAGACCCCGGAGTAGCTGGGATTACAGGCGCCAGCCACCATGCCCAGTTAATTTTTGTGTTTTCATTAGAGGCGGGGTTTCACCACGTTGGCCAGGGTGGTCTCAAACTCCTGACCTCCGGTGATCCGCTCACCTTGGCCTCTCAAAGTGTTGGGATTATAGGCGTGAGCCACCAGTCCCGGCCCCTCCCACCCCTCTGTATTATGACCATGTGTACCCAGCATTTAGCTCCCACTTATGAAAGAGAACATGCGGTATTTTGTTTTTTGCTTTTGCATTAGTTTTCTGGAAAGAATGCATTCATGTTGCTTCAAATGGCATAATTTTGAGTTTTTTCTGGCTGTATAGTATTCCATGAGTCTTTATCCAATCCACCACTGATGGATGTCTGGATTAAGCCTATGTCTTTGTGATTGTGAATACTGCTGTGATAAAAATATAGCTACATGTGTCTTTTTGATAGGGTATTTATTTTCTTTCGGGTATATACCCAGTAATGGGGTTACTGGATTGAATGGTAGATCAACTCTCAGTTCTTTAAGAAATCCCCAACCTGCTTTCCACAGTGGCTGAACTAATTTACATTCCTTCAGAAAGTGTATAAGTGTTCTCTATTCTCTAAATCTTCACCGATATGTGTTTTTCTTTTGACTTTTCAAAAAAAGCCATTCTGACCGGTGTGAAATGGTATTTCATTTCAGTTTTGATTTGCATTTCTCTAATAAATAATGACGATGAGCACTTTTACATATGTTTGTTGGGTGCTTGTGTGTATGTCTTCTTTTGAAAAGTGTCCGTTCATGTCCTGTTGCCCACTTTTTAATGGAGTTACTTGCTGCTTGCTTGTTGATTTGTTTAAGTTCCTTATAGGTTCTGCATAATAGACCTCTGTTAGATGCGTAGTTTGTGAATATTTTCTTTCATTCTGTGGGTTATCTCTTTACTACCTTGATAGTTTCTCTTGTTGTGCAAAAGTTTTTCAGTTTAATTAAATCCCACTTGTCATTTTTTGTTTTAGTTGCAATTGCTTTTGAGGACTTAGCCATAAATTATTTGCCAAGGCCGTTATCAAGAAAAGTATTTCCTAGGTTTTTTTCTAGGCGTTTTATAGCTTGAGATTTTTTCATTTAACTCTTTAATCCATCTTAAGCTAATTTTTGTATTTGGTGAAATATGGGGGTCTAGTTTTATTCTTCTGCATATGACTAGCCAGTTATCCCCGCATTATTTATTAAATAAAGTCTTTTTCCCATTGCTTACTTTTGTCAACTTTGTTAAAGATGTGATGGTTGCAGGCATGTGGCCTTAGTTTCTAGTACTCTAGTCTGTTCCATTGGTCTATGTGTCTGTTTTTCTACCAGTACCATGTTGTTTTGATTACTATAGTCTTCTAGTATAGTTTGAAGTCATGTAATATGATGTCTCTAGCCTATGTCTCTAGCCTTAGTATTGCTTTGGCTTGGCTAGCCTACGTCTCTAGCCTTAGTATTGCTTTGGCTTGGCTATTCAGACTCCTTTTAGGTTCCATATAAATTTTAGATGTTTTCTATTTTGTGCAAAATGACATTAGTAATTTGATAGGAAAAGCATTGAATCTGTAAATCGCTTTGAGCAGTATACTCATCTGCACGCAGATGATACTCCAGTGTATGTTCTGTGGTTGATGAATGAAGTGTATTGTAATTCCAAATGGTCAAGCCAGACCCTGCCCCCGCCCGGCTCCTCCTCTGCCAGAGCTGGATACCTCTAGCCAGGGGGCCTCTAGAGCCACTGGGGATGGGGCTGAGGGCCGCTTCCCGCCCCCGTGCAGCTGCTGCAGGGCAGACCGCCTGGCTTGGCCGCAGCCACAGGGACATCTGGCCCTGCTTCCGAGATGTGGGGAGTGTGGGCAGGCTCAGGAGTTGCCTGGAGGCTGCTGCCTGCACACAGAAGGCGGCTGCAGCTTGGGAGCCCAGGCGGGCTGGAGGGGCATGGCCTGGTCGGCCTCGGGATCGCCAGCGCGCCCAGCCTGAGGGCCCCCAGGCCGTGCCTCCCACCCACTCCTCCACCTGAGAGAGATCGGGGCCGCTGTCATGGGCACTCGGCAGTCACCCCGTGTGGGGTTGAGCGGCGGGTTTTCAGTTCTCGCCCCTGTGCAGCCGCCACCGCCGGGCAGAATGCCTGGCTTGGCCACAGCCACAGGGACACCTGGCCCTGGTTCTGCGAGACTGGGAGCGCAAGCAGGCTCAAGGGTTGCCAGGCAGCTGCTGCCTGCACACAGAGGGCGACTGCAGCTTGTGCACCCAGGCGGCGGAGCATGGTCTGGGTGGCCTCTGGAATGCGTGTGCACCAGGCCTGAGGGCCTCCCTGGTGGTGCCACCTGCCCCAGTCTTCCTCTGCTGGAGCCTGGAGCAGCTGGAATGGCCACTCTGCAGTCACAGGGGATAGAGTTAAGTTTTCTTATCCCACACATGCACACAAAAAGGTAACTATTCTGTGAGGTAATTAACATGTTCATTGACTTCGTTTTGGTAATCATTTCAGAATGTGCATATAAACGCATCACGTACAATTTTTATTTCTCTATTACACCTCAGTAAAGCTGAAATAATTAACAGGATTGAAAGGATAAACCCACAGTTCTATAGTCACAGTTGGACACTTCAATACCTCATTTTAATTAATGGATAGAAAAACCAGACAGAAGCTTCATGAGAAATACAAGAGTTAAACAACGGTATAAGCCACTGAGAGCTAATACGCATATACAGGACAGTCCATCCAACAACAGCAGAATATACATTCCTTTCAAGTGTATATGGAAGTTCTCTAGGATGGGCCATATCTTCGTCCACAAAATATGTCCTAATCATTTTTAAAAGTTTGAAATCATACAAAATATAATTTACAACCACAATGGAAGAAACAACAGATAAATAAGTGAAAACTGGAAAATTCACGAAAATGTGGAAATTAAACAATACAGTCTTCAACTACCAGTGAGTGAAAAAAATAAATCACAAGCAAAATTATAAAATATCTTGAGATAAATTAAAATAAAAACAAAACATACCAAAACTTATTGAATGCAGTGAAAGTAGAGTTCAAAGGAAAATGTATGGATATAAACAACTACATTTAAGAAAAATCTGAAATCAACATCCTCACTCTATACCTAAAGGCAGTGGAAGAAGACAAAATAAGACTAAATCCAAAGCTAGCAGTATGAAAGAAATAATAGAGAGCATAATTAGAGCATAAATCAATAAAATAGAAGTTTGGAGAGCAGTAGAATGAATAAACATAGATTATTTGAAAGATCAAGCCTTTCACTATATTGACTGAGCAAAAGATGGAAGACTAATTATTAAAATAATAAATGAAAGCAGAGCCATTACTACCAACTTTACAGAAATACAAAAGGATTACAGGAGTATACTGTGAACAACTGTCTAACAACAAATTAGCTGCCCTGGATGAAATGGACGAATCACTAGAAAGACACAAACTACCAAAGTGGCTCAAGAAGAAAGAGAAAATCTGAATAGACCTATAACCTAGGAGATTGAATTAGTAATCGAAAGTGATTAACAAAGAAACATTTATGACCAAATAGCTGCATTAACTGGTGAGTCAACCTAACATTTAAAGAAGAATTAATACCATTTCTTCTCAAACTCTTCTGACATAATATATGAAGAAGGAATACTTGCTAATTCATTTTTTGATAACAGCATTATCCTTATACCAAAGCCAAAGAGAGCACAAAAAGAGAACTACAGCACAATATCCCTTATGAATATATAAGCAAAAATCTCAGCAAAATACTAGCAATACTAGCAAAATACTAGCAGCAATACTGTATAATCAAAGGATTGTAAACTATCACCCTGTGAGATTTATCCCCAAAATGCAAGGGTGGCTCAACATATAAAAAATCAATCAGTGTAATATACTCTAACAGTAAAATGAATAAGCACGTGATTATTTCAATTGATGCAGAGAAAACATTGATGAAATACAACACCCTTCTATAATAAAAATACTCAATAAACTAGGCATAGAAGGGATTTTCTGCAACATGACAATAGGATGTACAAAAACCCAACAGTTAATATCATGATCAATGATGAAACACTGAAAGCTGTTTTCCTAACATCTAGAACAAGACAAGCATGGTGCATTTGCCACTTGTGTTCAATGTACCACTGGCAATTTTAGCCAGAGCAATTAGGCAAGACAAAGAAATAAAAGGCATCTAAATTAGAAATAAAAAACAGAAGTAAAATTATATCTACACATGATCTTATGTGTATAAAGCTCCAAATAAAACACAAAACCGATTATAACTAATAAAAGAGGCAGGATGCAAAACAAACATAGGCAAATGAGCTATATTTCTATATAGTTGTAAAGAACTATGAAAATATTTTAAAAATTCCATTTATAATAGCATCAAAGAATAAGTTATTCAGGCATAAATCTAACCATGGTGGTATACACAAAACTTTGCTGAAAAAAACGAAAGAGAGTGGAAATAACCGGAAAGACATTCTGTGTTCACGGGTTGTAAGACAATACTGTTAAGATGACAATACCATCTAAAGTAATCTACAGATTCAATGCAATACCATCAAAATCCCAAAGGCATTTCTGCAGAAAGAAAGAAACTCATTCTACAATTCATACAAAAATTCAAAGGATCTGACAGACAAAACAGTCTTGAAAAAGAATATTAGAAAACTCACATTTTTCAGTTTCACAGCCTACTACAAATCTACAGTAATCAAGAGAGTGTGGTACTGGCATAAGACTAATAGACTTTTAGACCAATACAATAGAACAGATTTAAGATCCTACAAATTAGCGCTCACATATATGGTCAATGACTGTTCAACAAGCTGTCCAAGTCTAGTCAAGGGAGGAAAGAACAGTCTCTTCAACAGCTGGATGTCAGTGCACAAGAGAGAAGTTAGACCCCTACCTTGCAGTATACACGAAAATTAATTCTAAATTAATAAAAGACTTACATGTAAGGACTAAAGTATGTAACTCTTAGAAGAAAACACAAGGTAAACCTTTATGACCTTTGAGTTTTAAGTGTATTTTGAAATATGACAGAAAAGCACAGATAACAAAAGAAAATACACGTAAATTAGATTTAATCAAAATAAAAAACCTTTATGCATCAAAGGATACTATCAAGGGAGTGAAAAGACAACCCATAGTATGTGAGAAAATATGTATCTGATAAAATCAAAGTGCGTATCTGATAAAAGCTTAATATCCCACAACTCAACATCAGAATTTCTAACATCCCAATTAAAAAATAGGCAAAGGACTTGAATAGACATTTCTCCGAAGAAGATACACAAATGTGTAAGACGGATAAGAAAAGATGCTAAACACTGTTATTCATTAATAAAATGCAAGACAAAACCCAAATGAGATACCACTTTGCATCCACTAGTAAGGCTTTCATAACAACGACACAGAAAATCAATGTTGCTAAGGAGGTGGAGAAATTGGAGCCCTCATGAACTGGCTGCTAGGAATAGAAAATGATGCACTTGCCGTGGAAAACAATTTGGTGGTTCCTCACAGAAACACACAGAGAAACAAGAGCTGCTGGCTTCCGGGTTCTCCTGGGCTGGCGCGGTACGTCCCGGAATCGCAGGCGCGCATCCCTTCCCGCCTGAGGGCCTGCCTGGCCGTGACTCCCACCCCTCTTCTCCTCCGAAGAGACGTCGGGGCCGCTCCAGGGGCCGTCCGCAGCCACCGGGGATGGGGCTGAGGGTCGGTTCCTGCCCCGGTGCAGCCGCCGCCGAGCAGACCGCCTGGCTTGGCCGCAGCCACGGCGACATCCAGGCCCGGGTCTGCGAGGCTGGGCGCGCCAGCCAGCTTGGGAGTTGCCTGGCGCCTGTAGCTGGGCGCCCAGGTGGTGAGCATGGCCTGGGCGGCCTCTGGATCGCAAGTGCTCCTGGCCTGAGAGCCCGCCAGACCCTGCCCCCGCCCGGCTCCTCCTATGCCAGAGCTCGACACCTCTAGCCAAGGGCCCTCTGCAGCCACGGGGGATAGGGCTGAGGGCCGGTTCCCGCCCCCGTGCAGCTGCTGCAGGGCAGACCGCCTGGCTTGGCCGCAGCCACACGGACATCTGGCCCTCGTTCCGAGATGTGGGAAGTGAGGGCGGACTCGGGAGTTGCCTGGAGGTTGCTGCCTGCACACAGAAGGCGGCTGCAGCTTGGGTGCCCAGGCGGGCTGGAGGTGCATGGCCTGGTCGGCCTCGGGATCGCCAGCGCGCCCAGCCTGAGGGCCCCCAGGCTGTGCCTCCCGCCCAGTCCTCCACCTGAGGGAGATCGGGGCCGTTGGTATGGGCCCTCAGCAGTCACCCCGTGTGGGGTTGAGCGGCGGCTTCTCAGTTCTCGCTCCTGTGCAGCCGCCGCCGCCGGTCAGAATGCCTGGCTTGGCCGCAGCCACTGGGACACCTGGCCCTAGTTCTGCGATGCTGACAGCGCGAGCGAGCTCGGGGGTTGCCAGGCAGCTGCTGCCTGCACACAGAGGGCGACTGCAGCTTGGGCGCCCAGTCGGCGGAGCATGGTCTGGGTGGCTGCTGGAATGCTTGCGCTCGAGGCCTGAGGGACCCACTGTTGGTGCCACCTGCCCTGCTCTGCGCCTCTCCACGCCTGCGCCGGCGCCCCCTCCGCGCCTGCGCCCCCTCCGCGCCTGCACCCCCTCCGCGCCTGCGCCTCTCTGCCTTTGCGAAGGGCGCTCTGCCTTTGCTAGGGCGGAGCTGCCTTCTCCTCGGCACAGACCCGGAGAGCATCGCGAGGGCGGAGCTGAGTTCTCCTCTGCACAGACTTCGGAGATACAGCGAAGGCGGAGCAGTGTTCGCCTCAGCACAGACCCGGGCGGGCGGGCCGTGGGTACCGCGAGGGCGGAGCTGCGTTCTGCTCAGCACACACCCAGGGGACACCGCGAAGGCAGAGCAGCGTTCTCCTCAGCACAGACCTTGGGGGCACTGCCTCGCTTTGGGACAACTCGGGGCCGCATCAACGGTGAATAAAATCCTTCCTGTTTGCAGCCCTGAATAATCAGGGTCAGAGACCAGTTAGAAGGGTTCAGTGTGGAAAACGGGAAACCAAAAGCCCCTCTGAATCCTGCCCACCGAGGTTCTCCCCAGCCAAGGCGAGGCGGCCGCAGTGCGAGATCCACACCGCAGCCTCGGAAGACAAATGCGGCATTCCTAATGCAGACATGACACCCAAAGTATGACACCCCCATTGCTCATGTAACAAGCACCTGTAATGCTAATGCGCTGCCTCAATACAAAAATATTAATATAAGATCCGCAATCCCCTCGCTGCCGTGCAGTCCAAAGACAGCCATCATAATAATCAACATTGACATAGTCAATACAAACTTAGTAACGAACCTAGGGTTAAGGTTGGTGTTAGGGTTAGGGGTTAGGGGTTAAGTTTAGGGTTAGAGGTTGGAGATAGGGATTGGGGTCAGAGTTAGGGGTTAGGAGTCAACGTTTAGAGTTAGGGTTTAAGAGATGTTAGGGGTTAGGGATTAGGGGTTAGGGTTGGGTTAGGGTGAGGGTTGGGGTTAGGGATAGTGGTTAGGGTTTGTGTCAGGGGTTAGGGGTCAGGGTCAGTGGTTAGGGGTCAGGGTCAGGGGTCCCACTCTGCGATTTGTCTATTTACTCTGCTGACTGTTCCCTTTGCCATGCAAAAGCTCTTTAGTTTAATTAAGTCCCAGCTATTTATCTTTGTTTTTATTGCATTTGCATTTGGGTTCTTGGTCATGAAATCCTTGCCTATGCCAATGTCTAGAAGGGTTTATCCAGTGTTATCTTCTAGAATTTTTACAGTTCAGGAATTAGGTTTAAATTCTTAATCCATCTTGAGTAGATTTTTGTATAAGGTGAGAGATGAGAATCCAGTTTTATTCCCCTACATGTGGCTCGCCAATTATCCCAACTTCATGTGTTGAAAAGGGTGTCCTTTCCCCACTTTATGTTTTTGTTTGCTTTGTCAAAGATCAGTTGGCTGTAAGTATTTGGGTTAATTTCTGAGTTCTCTCTTCTGTTCCATTGGTCTATGTGCCTATTTTTAAACCAGTACCATGCTGTTCTGGTAACTATGGCCTTATTGTACAGTTTGAAATCAAGTAGTGTGATGCCTCCAGGCTTGTTCATTTTGCTTAGCCTTGGTTTGGCTACATGGCACTCTTTTGGTTCCATATTAATTTTAGAATTGTTTTTGTAATTCTGTGAGGGATGATGGTGGTATTCAGATGGGGATTGCATTGAATTCGTAGATTGCCTTTAACAGAATGGTAATTTTCACAATATTGGTTCTACCCATCCATGAGCATGGGGATGTGTTTCCATTTGTTTGTGTCATCTATGATTTCTTTTCTTTCTTGTTTTTTTTTTTTTCAGAGGTAGTTTCG
This sequence comes from Homo sapiens, assembly GCF_000001405.40. Lineage (NCBI taxonomy): Eukaryota > Metazoa > Chordata > Mammalia > Primates > Hominidae > Homo > Homo sapiens. The sequence continues at coordinate 62,840,150 of NC_000009.12, forward strand.
CTCTTGTCGCTGAGGTGGGAGTGCAATGGTGTGATCTCGGCTCACTACAACTTCTGCCTCCCGGGTTCAAGTGATTCTCCTGCCTCGGTTTCCCGAGTAGCTGGGATTATAGGCATGCGCCAACGTGCTTGGCTCCATCTATGATTCCTTTCAGCAGTGTTTTGTAATTTTCATTGTAGAGGTCTTTTGATTACTTTGCTAGGTATATTCCTAAGTTTTGTTTGTTTTTTTTTGTTTGTTTTTTGCAGCTATTGTAAAAGGGGTTGAGTTCTTGATGTGATTCTCAGCTTGGTAGCTGTTGATGTATAGAAGAGCTACTGATTTGTGTACATTAATCTCGTATCTGGAAACTTTGCTGAATTCTTTTATCAGTTCTAGGAGCTTTCTAGAGGAGTCCGTAGGGTTTTCAAGGCGAAAGATCATATCGTCAGCAACCAGTAACAGTTTGACTTCCTCTTCACCGATTTGGATTTCCTCTATTTCCTTCTTTTGTCTGATTGCTCTGGCTAGGACCTCCAGTACTATGTTGAAAAGGAGTGGTGAGAGTAGGCTCTTCGTCTTGTTCCAGTTCTCAAAGGGAATGCTTTCACCTTTTCCCCATTCAGTATTATGTTGGCTGTGGGTCTGTCATAGATGGCTTTTATTACATTAAGGTATGTCCCTTGTATGCCTATTTTGCTGAGAGCTTTAATCATAAAGCAATGCTAGATTTTGTCAAATGCTTTTTCTGCATCTGTTGATAAAATCATGTGAGTTTTTTTTTAAATTCTGTTTATTTGGTGTATCACATTTATTGACTTGCATATGTTAAACCATTCCTGTGTCACTGGTATGAAACCCACTTGATCATGGTGGATTATCTTTTTGATATGTTGTTGGATTCAGTTAGATAGTATTTTGTTAAGGATTTTGGCATCTGTGTTCATCATGGATATTGGTCTGTAGTTTTCTTTTTTGGTTATGTCCTTTCATGGTTTTGGTATTAGGGTGATGCTGGCTTCATAGAAAGAAGGGAGTGTTTCTTCTTTCTCTGTCTTGTGGAATAGTGTGAAAGGATTGGTATCATTTCTCCTTTGAATAAAAGAAAATATTCTTTGAATGTCTGGTAGAATTCTGCTGTGAATCTGTCTGGTCCTCGGCTTTTTTTGTTGGTAATTTTAAAATTACCATTTCAATCTTGCTGCTTGTTTTATTGGTCTGCTTGGGGTATCTACTTCTTCCTGATTTAAGCTAGGAGGGTTGTATTTTTCCAGGAATTTATGCAACTCTTCTGGGTTTTCTAGTTTTTGTGCCAAAAGGTGTTCATAGTACCCTTGAATAATCTTTAATATTTCAGTGGTGTCAGTTGTAATATCCCCTGTTTCATTTCTTAGTGAGGTTATTTGGATTTCCTCTCTTCTTTTCTTGGTTAATCTTATAATGGTCTATCGATTTTGTTTATCTTTTCAAATAACCAACTTTTTGTTTTATTCATGTTTTGTATTTGTTGTTGTTGTTGTTGCTGTGTCAATTTCATTTAGTTCTGCTCTGATCTTGGTTATTTCCTTTGTTTGCTGGGATTGGGTTTGGCTTGTTCCTGCTTCTCCAGTTCTCTGAGATGTGAACTTAGATTGTCTGTTTGTGCTCTTTCATACTTTTTGACATAGGTGTTTAGGGCTACAAACTTTCCTCTTAGCACTGCCTTTGCTGTATCCCAGAGGTCTTGATTGGTTGTGTCATCCAGTTCAAAGAAATTTTTTCCATTTCCATCTTGATTTTGTTTTTCACCCAGTGCTCATTCAGGAGCAGGTTATTTAATTTCCATGTATTTGCATGGTTTTGAAGATTCCTTTTGGAGTTGATTTTCAGTTTTATTCCACTGTGATCTGAGACAGTGCGTGGTACAATTTCAATTTTCTTAAATTTATTGAGACTCATTTTATGGCCTATCATATGGTCTATCTTGGAGAAAATTCCATGTGCTGTTGCATGGAATGTGTATTCTGTGGTTGTTGGATGAAATGTTCTTATATATCTGTTAAGTCCATTTGTTCCAAAGTATAGTTTAAATCCAGTGTTTCTTTGTTGACTTTCTGTCTTGATGACCTGTCTAGTGCTGTCAGTGGAGTAATGAAGTCCCCCACTATTATTGTGTTGCTGTCTATCTTATTTCTTATGTTTACTAGTGATTGTTTTATAAATTTGGGAGCTCCAGTGTTAGGTTCATGTATGTTTAGGATTGTCATGTTTTTCTGTTGAATGAGACCTTTACCATTATATACTGTCTGTCTTTGTCTCTTTTAGCTACTGTTGCTTTAAAGTTTGTTTTGTCTCATATGAGAATAGCTACCGCTGCTCGCTTTTGGTGTCCATTTGCATGAAATGCCTTTTCCTACCACTTTCCTTAAGTTTATGTAGGTCGTTATGTGTTAGGTGAGTCTCCTGAAGGCAGCAGATAGTTAGATGGTGAGTTATTATCCATTCTGTGGTTCTGTATCTTGTAAGTGGAGCATTGAAGCCATTTACAACCAACATTAGTATTAAAAAGTGAGGTACCATTGCTTTCATCATGCTCTCTGTTGCCTCTGTACTTTGTTTTTGTTTTTTGTTTTTGCTTTTTAACTTGTATTTTTGTTTTATAGGTCTTGTGTGATTTATGCTTTAATGAAGTTCTGTTTTGATGTGTTTCCAGGGTTTCATGATTTTAGAGCTCCTTTTAGCAGTTCTTACAGTGCTGGTTTGGTAATGGCAAATTCTGTCAGCATTTGTTTGTCTGAAAATGACTGTATCTTTCTTTCATATATGATGTTTAGTTTTGCTGGATACAGAATTCTTGGTTGATAATTGTTTTGTTTGAGGAGGCTGAAGAAAGGGCCCCAATCCCATCTAGCTTTTAAGGTTTCTGCTGCAAAATCTGCTGTTAGTTTGATAGGTTTTCCTTTATAGGTTACCTAGTGCTTCTGTCTTACAGCTCTTAAGATTCTTTCTTTTGTCTTAACTTTGGATAACCCAATGACAATGTGCCTAGGCTAAGATCTTTTTGTGATGAATTTCCCAGGTGTTATTTGTGCTTCTTGTATTTGGATGTCTAGGTCTCTCACAAGGCCACGGAAGTTTTCCTTGACTATTCCCCCAAATATGTTTTCCTAGCCTTTAGAATTCACTTCTTCCTCAGGTACACCAATTAGTCTTAGGTTTCATTGTCTTAGGCCCCACCACTGGGGCCGTTACACGTGACATGGGATGTGGGCCATCAGGCAAAGGGCGCGGAGATGCGGCGCTGCCAGGGGAGCCAAGGAGGAAAGAGAGCGCTTTCCAAATTGTCTTCCAGGGTTTCAATGTGCATTTTATTAACTCAGAATCTGTCGGGAATAATACTAGGGAGCTACCTTTCCCTGGAGATGGGTCTTGTCAGTGGAGTGAGATAGGCTGGGGGGAGGAAGAGGAATGGGAGGCTCAGTTTATAAATATTAAGATCAGCAAGGGTGTGCTGCTGGCAGGAGCAGAGCGAGCCTGGAGATTTGGGTGGCTGCCGTTGGTAAGTGGTTGCAATCCAGAGAGTGGGATTGAGTTCCTCCCTTGTCATGTTAGCATCCCGTTTCCTGGGCGCGGGTCTAATGCCCTGCAGGTGGTCATTTCACTCATGGTGGCTTTGTCTCTCTTCTGCCATCTCCAGACTCAGCTTTGCACTCCAGGGCTGCGTACCACCAGCCACTGTCATGTTAACCCCTTCCCAGGCCAATGTGTCCTTGGCCTGGAGCCCAATCTGCTGGACAGCCTGGGACCGTCCATTTTCGGGGTGGTGGGCAACCTGGTGGCCATCGTGGTGCTGTGCAAGTCGCGCAAGGAGCAGAAGGAGACCACCTTCTATACAGTTATGCGGCTGGCTGCCACCGACCTGTTGTTCACTTTGCTGGTGAGCCAGGTGACCATCGCCATGTACATGAAGGGCGGGTAACCTGGGGGCCAGCTGCTGTGTGAGTACAGCATCTTCAGCCTGTTCTTCTTCAGTCAGTCCGGCCTCAGCATCGTCTGTGCCATGATATCTATACAGGTAATTTGTGTTAGACATTCTTAGAAGAGTTTCAAAAGTTTTATGTTTTTATCTGGGTTATAAACAGAGTCCTCAAATGCATACAAAGGAAATCATGCCATGATTGAATTTCAGCAGGAATAAGTTTATTTTACCTATTCAAAATTAAAATACTTTTGTGTTTGAAAATCTGTTTTAAAGATATGTTTTTGAAAAAAGTTTAAGTAAATATTTAATCATGTCCCCTTTTCTATCCCAAGAAATAATTTCATATATAGTTTATTTAAATTTTTTAACAAAAATGTAGCATAATTTTTTTAAATTGTATATTTTATTTAACCCAATATATATCCAAAATATTGGGTCAATATGTAATCAATATAAAAATTATTAGAGATAGTTTGCATTCTTTTTTCATATGAAATCTTTGAAATCCATTGTGTATTTTACATTTTAGGATGTCTCAACTCAAATGTGAAATTTTCATGGAGAATATTTGAACTGTATTTAGATTAATACAAATTGCAGTTAAAACGTTTAATATAGATTTACCAGGGGGCGTGCAGCCCGCTTGCCAATCAGATCGCTGCTGAGCGGTCCCGCAGCCAACCCCCGAAGAGCAGCCTGCTGGCTTCCCCAGCGCCCAGGAGTTGGGGATGTCCTACAAACCTACCACCCCTGCCCCCAGCAGCACCCCCGGCTTCAGCACCCCTGGGCCAGGCACTCCGGTCCCTACAGGAAGCGTCCCGTCGCCGTCGGGCTCAGGGCCGGGAGCCACTGCCCCTTGCAGACCGCTGTTTAAAGACTTTGGACCACCTACGGTCGGTTGTGTGCAGGCCATGAAACCACCTGGTGCCCAGGGCTCCCAGAGCACCTACACGGAACTGCTGTTGGTCACAGGGGAGATGGGCAAAGGGATCCGGCCCACCTATGCTGGCAGCAAGAGCGCCGCGGAGCGCCTGAAGAGAGGTATCATCCATCCCTAGTCAGAGTGCCTGGTAGAGACAGAGCGGAACGGCCACACTTAACAGGAAGCTCCTAGGCCTCTGTGTCTGGACTTCAGAGCACCTGCTTCTCCCTGGCCTTCATCCCTAGTTGCACTAACCATCCTGGGCTTCCTGTCCTGTGTCCCTTGATGGGTGCCCTCCAGGAACCAAGGGGCGGTTCTCACTGCAGGTGGCAGCACTAAGGACCCCCCTCCCCACCCCACCCCGCCAACGCAACAAGAGTTAGCAGCGAGGTCCCCGTGAGTCCCACCCATGACCTGCAGACAGTGTTGCCCACTGGAACTTTCTGTGGCGCCCACCACTCAGCCCTTCCCAGCACTTGTCCAGAGCCTCTTTCTCCCTCAGCACAGCTCAGGCCTCAGGCCTGACACTTCCCTGCCTTGTGTCTTTTGCTAAATATGACCTTTCTATATTAATAAAAGATGCTTTGGAGTTGTGCTCTCTAAAAAAAAGTTTAATATAAAGGAGAAATAAAAGGAAATTTAGCAAAGAAATATGTAGATGAATATTTAAATACTCAGAGGTGACATTACTACCAGACATAATGAGATTATCAGATGTTTCATTTACTTATGATTAATATGTTTGTATTTATTTTTTATTCATTTTATTTTATTTATGTATTTATTTTTATTATACTTTAAGTTCTAGGGTACATGTGCACAACGTGCAGGTTTGTTACATCTGTATACATGTGCTGTGTTGGTTTGCTGCACCCATTAACTTGTCATTTACATTAGGTATTTCTCCTAATGCTCTCCCTCCCCCAGCCCCCCACCCCATGACAGGCCCCAGTGTGTGATGTTCCCCTGCCTGTGTCCAAGTATTCTCATTGTTTAATTTCCACCTATGAGTGAGAATATGCAGTGTTTGGTTTTCTGACCTTGCGATAGTTTAAACAAACTAGGAAGTTCAGAAGTCACTTTACAAGAGAAATAAAGAAAAATAAAGTATTAATGACATTGGTAACAGAATAAAAATTAGAGTTAGACAAAGTATTAGCAAGCAAGCTTATATATTTATAAGAGATGGGAAAATATTAGAAAGGAATAAATCATGTCTTGTCAACATGAAGAAAAAGTGTATTTTTTTGTTAACTTATTATTGTGTTTCCTTGTATAATTTTCACTTGGTTTTGTTGGTTTTACTACTTGCTTCATTCTTTCAAAAACTACATCTTCATAGACCATTTCAGCTTTTGCTATGTAGGCAGAATTATAAAACCCAATTTCAAAATTTCAACTGAACGTTGTCAGCATTTTTCTTTGGGCTTTTTATTGAAAAAAAAAAACCTAAGTAATTGTGTGTGTGTGTATTTTAGTATTACCATGAATGTAATAACAATAAAGTCAAACAAAAACAAATGGATATGCAATATGTTGGACTAGCATCTCAAATATGAAAAAGGCATTGCCAACAGTGATATAATTTTTTTTCATAACGGTAAGCTTTTTAAAGTATAATCTTATTTTAACCTAAAATCTTACTATCAGAAAATGCAGTGTACATTAAAATGTTCTGAAATGCTTTATTCACATTTATTAAATGGTTGTACTCACTCAGATATCTACAAATTGGTTTTTCACTTATGTAATTATCTTATAGAATGTTCAAAAGTCATGCAGAATGTGAGATAATTTTCTATTGAATATGATTGTTTTATCATTGCAAGACATCAAACATCCCTGTTTCCTGCCAAATGAATGTACAATAGCAATAAATGTAAAGATGTGTTTTTTGGAAAAGACACATTTTTGAGTTATAAAACAAGGATTTTAAAACTTGAATTGTTACAGTGAGTATGTCTTAATATAGGCTACAGTCACTTTAGATAAAAAATTACCTCACATCTATTTTCAATATTACTTAAAGATGTTCATTTAGTGGCAAATATTTTTTTTTTGCCTAGAGGCAGATATTTTGCCACATGGCTATTTATGAAACTGTATTTAAATGCATGTACACATATAAAAGCTGCCACTGTGGCTGTAAACTATTACAAGTTATCAAGATTAAAAAATAAACAAAAAATATTTCAGTTTTTCTATGAAATGTCTTTACTCGAGTCCAAATTTAGAGGTTTAAAATGCTTCAAATTAATAAAACCAAGTGTTTCACATATTTCAGTTGGAGTGGCGTTTGTCCTAGTTTTATTAGTGAAGCAGCAGACTGCATTTTTTCACTCTCATACACCTTCAAAAGATGGACAGAAAAATTTGATAAAACTTCTAGGGCATTATCTGATGAAACACATTAAACACTAAAGGAGATATACAACTTCATTGCTTGTAAAAGACATATAAGAAGGAAACCTACATACATATATCTATCAGTTTTGTATTTTCAGGAAATATTTGCCTTAAAGTGAGCTTCATAACAGTATGTGTTCTCCAACAAAGCCAAGGAAAGTAAGTTTGACACAAGGATCTGGAAGTCTACCTGTGTGGCATAATTACATTGAATACATTCCACAAATAAGGCAGAAATGTATAGTAGAGTGTCCATTATAGAGGAACACTCAATAAATATTTAATAAAGTGCTTAAATTTCTCATTATTGACCTGAACAATGAGTATACTTATTACGTTTGCCAGTGACAGATATTAAAAGTGGAGATTGAAGGAAAAATGATGTATAGAAGAGAGATTTTACCTTCAAAGTGACATAAATAATTTGAAGAAATTGAGGGAAGTGACTTGCTTAAATATCCATACAGTAAATATTTATTGTGTGCTTACTGTGTGCACTGGGAATTAAGCAGTGAAAAAAATACAAAGGAAAACATCAACAACGTCTCTTCTATCATGGAGCTTACATTCTACCAGTAAGAGAAAGACCATCAACAAATACATATGTAGTATAACATGACTATGAATGGTATGGAGAAAAATAAGAACAGTAAGGGGGATGTGGGGGCCTGGGGATTTATTTTATATAAGGATAGACAACAAAGGCCTCATTACTAAGTAATTTTATGCAATCCTTTTTTCAATTTATTTATTTGTTGATTCCATAATACTTATTTATGTATTTATGTATTTTTAATTTATTTTTTATTTTTAGAATCAGGGTCTCACTCTGTCACCCAGGCTGAAGTGCAGGGGTGTGATCATAGTTCACTGTAACCTTACTCCTGGGCTCAATTGATCCTCCCATCTCAGCCTCCCAAGTGTCTTGGTCTACAGGCACCTACCACCATGCTTGGCTAATTAAAAAAAAAAAAATTAGAGATGGGGTTGTGCTATGTTGCCCAGGCAGGTGTCAAAATCTTGGCCTCAAGCAATGCTCCTGCTTTGGCCTGTCTAAGCATTGAGATTATAGGCATGGGCCACCGTGCCTGGCCCTGTAATATGTATTTAGCATATACACTGTGATAGGCACAAGAAAGTCTCTGATAGTTCAGTAAAAAACTGCAATGATGTTTGCAACAGGTAATTAAGTTTGGCCACGATTCTTTTGAGTGTCATAACACTGTCCTAAGAAAAAGTCTATATTTCCACTTTACTGGGTGTGTGAAACTCAAACTCAAGGTTAAAAAGCTCTGATTTTTTGTTGAAATCATAATCCAACTAAAAGCCAGAAATGTGGAGCCATTTTTTTTATTTTAAGTGAATCATAAGCAGTCTTGTATTTAAGACAGATAAAATTATTGTACAGTATTATGTTTTCTGTACTTAAAATGAGAGAAAACCATGAGGGTTGTTAATGTTTGAAAAAAGAAGGCATCTATGAGGAAGCTTTATATTGGTAGAAAGTGTGAAAGGAAAATAAAATCTCAGGACCCCAAACTCACTATGACAAAGGAAAATTAAGCTTGGAACGTGAGTCATGCAAAAACTGCCATCCTTTTGTTCCCAAACAGCTGTACTTTCATATGCTTACTTTAACTTACGTAAAATGTAGATTTCCTGAGAGAGAGGATGAATGCACAACTGACTCCTTCCTCCTGTTTTTGCCACATGTAACATATAGATTCACTGAGCACTAATCAGAGCCTCACAAGAATGTAGCCATTAGCTTTCTTGCCTTCCCTCTCTCCTTCTTTTCCTCCCCTGTTTTAATTTCCTGCCTGCTTCCTCTTTCTCCTTTAAATATTGAAGTTCCCAAAACCCTCTTTAGAAAAAGCACAGGACATCACCTACTTGTGACTTGTGATCCTTTTTCCCAGGTGTATCCTCCACCTTGCAAAGCAAAATCTCTAAATCACTTGAGATCTGCCTCATTCACTTATTGGTTTACAAAGGGAAGTTGGAAAAAACCACTCTTCTTGCAATGCACAAATGACTGTTTTATAGTAACTTTATTGCCTATGCAATCAATCATATTGATATAGTATCAGATGATAAATGTAGATGTAAAAAATCTATCTGTAGAAGTGACTTTTCTTATTTCCCCTCTCTCCTTTTCTCCCCTACTGTGCTTTGAATTCTTTATTTTCATATTCACTTTGCTGGCTTCGGATCATTTCCAAACCTACTCTAATGGTAGCATGATAGCATCCAGTGAGTTTGTTGTTGTTGCTGTTGTGATAGGACCATAGACTTTCACATCTAGTTGTGATATCACATGCTCACATTGTCTAACTACTTCATTTTACAGTTGAAGAAATTGAGACACAAGGTAAGGTGACCTGCCCAGTTCCAATCTAGTTATATAATAAAAGAATGGCTAATATTTAATAAATAATATGAGTCAGGCACTGGGAAAATAAGGCACTTTTTTTTTTTTTGAGACGGAGTCTCCTTCTGTCGCACAGGCTGGAGTACAGTGGCGCGATCTCGACTCACTGCAAGCTCTGCCTCCCGTGTTCATGCCATTCTCCTGCCTCAGCCTCCCCAGTAGCTGGGACTACAGGCGCCCACCACCACGCCCGGCTAATTTTTTGCATTTTTAGTAGAGATGGGTTTTCACCTTGTTAGCCAGGATGGTCTCGATCACCTAACTTCGTGATCCTTCCGCCTCGGCCTCCCAAAGTGCTGGGATTATAGGCGTGAGCCATCGCGCCCAGCTAATTTTTTGCATTTTTAATAGAGATGGGGTTTCGCCGTGTTAGCCAGGATGGTCTCGATCTCCTGAACTCATGATCCGCCTGCCTCGGCCTCCCAAACTACTGGGATTATAGGCTTGAGCCACCGCGCCTGGCAGTAAGGCACTATTTTTATCTCTATTTAAAAATGTAGAAACTGAGCCAAAGAGAGGATATGGTATTTGCCTGGGATCATAGGATTAGTAAATGTCTGAGTTGGTATTTAAAGGCAGGCTTCCAGATTTCATAGCCCATCCACAATCGCATGCCACTCAAGTCTTCTGGCTCCGACTTCTCTGCAATTTACACAGCCCTACACTGCCTTCCTCCTAAACTCTCCAACCTCCTACTTTTTCAGCTCTAAACTTTGATTCCCTAAACACAGCAGTCAGGGACAGGTGGAAGATTGTTGTGAAAAGAACAGGCAGCAGCATTACGGTTTAGCCTGTTTTTATATCTATTTTATTCTACAGATTAGTGTACTTTTCTCAATTATGCATACTTTTCCATTCTGCCAAAAATTTATTTTAAGGCTGTTAAAGCTGTAGTCAATTTTCTCACTTTGATCTTCCAAAGGAACCTGCTGTATCTTTTTCATTCTGTGCAAAATAGGCATTTTAGGATCCACTCAATGCTAAAGTCACTGAGTAGCTACAGACTTGCTATTTGTTTCTCCATTGTTATATTTTCATAGTTTTAGAATCTGAGCAGCATTTAATTTGTCTATGCTTCATATTTTCCTTTAGAGAAAGAACACAGTGATACTTGCTCATAGTGTTAGAGGAATAATCCCAAAGAGAGAAATTATTCTTCGAATATCCACCATGACTGAATACTTAGTAATACTGAAACCTACTTATAAAACAAAACAGAAAACCTCCAAAAAACCAAATAAACAACAAAAAAACTTAAAACCAAAAAAGTACTGGAAGTCTCAGAAGTATTTAGCAGTTTTTCTTGCTCCTTCAAATGAAAAGATGCTTTATCATATCCTCTATGGAGAGAATTCTGACAGTATTTATCAAAGACCTTACATTTATTCACCTTTTGCCCTAAAAATTTCATAACTTAAAAATACATACAACAATTTATAATATAGCATTTTTTGTAAAGGGAAATAATCAGAAAGAGCCTAAGTGTTCAACAATAGGGCACTTGTTGAATTATGATACAATCACACAATAAGGTCTTCATAGAGCTCATTAAAATGATGTTATTGATATTTATTTATTAATAGGAGAAATCATTTAGAATTTTTGGTTAAGACCTTTAACTAAGCACAAAGTCTATGAAATAATGTACACAACATTCCATATTTTCATAAGGGGAATGACTTTTAAAACTACCCTGCAATCATCTCATTTTACACAAATGTCTAGGCAGGTTTGTTACCCGGGTATATTGTGCCATGCTGAGGTTTGGGGTATGACTGATCTCATCATGCAGATACGAAGCTTAGTACCCTGTAGTTTTTCAACCCTGGCTGCCCTCCCTACTGCCTCTACTAGTCTCCATTGTCTATTATAGTCATCTTTTCTTTTTTTGAAAAAAATCTGTTTTTCTGATTTTTTTATTAGGTAAAAAATGGAAAAACAAAATATAATTTTCATTCAATACATACTTCATCTTTATGCGTTATTTTTCGAGAAAGTGAAGTCCATTTAGAATGATAGCAGTTCATCAACCAAATAATTCATCTTCACACAGTTTCAATTACTTCAGAAATTTTCTTCATCTCTCTCTCTGTAGAAATTCTCAAACTGTGGAATGCTCATCCTTATCGTCATAAATACTGTCATCTTTATGTCCAAGAGTATCCAACATTTAGCTACCAAACTACTACCCAAATCTGATTAATTGATCATGTTGATTCTGTCACATTCTACTTGTCATATCAGATTTTTATTAAAGAAATCATTAGCTTATCTATGATTGTTACTGGGGCTGTAAGAAAATTTTATAAGTCATTTGGATCAATCTTCTTCTTTATGGTCTTATTTGAGAATAAAACTTGGTTCTGTCTTAGCCTGTCATTGAATAAGCCAGTGACCTGGGGCAAATCTAACTGCTTCATCTGTAAACTATGAATAATAATAGAGTCCCTCTGCCTGTCACACATGGGTATAGTAAGGTTCCATTTTAAAAATGGCTCTTATTATGTTACCTGAAAGGCATTCTATAATGATGAGTGGCAAGGTGGTCTTAGCAACAGTGCAGTGAAAATTGGGACCATTTTCTGTCGCTATCATTTCTATTTTTGTGATACCCTCTTTTAATTAGTCTTAGGATGTAATTCAAAGGAGTGATGTAATTGGAATTTTCTTCTTTTTTTTGAGACAGAGTTTCCCTCTGTCGCCCAGGTTGGAGTGCAGTGGCGCAATCTGGGCGCACCGCAAGCTCCGCCTCCTGGGTTCACGCCATTCTCCTGCCTCAGCCTTGTGAGTAGCTGAGACTACAGGCGCCCGCCACCGCACCTGGCTAATTTTTTGTATGTTTGGTTGAGACGGGGTTTCACCATGTTACCCAGGATGGCCTCGATCTCCTGACCTCATGATCCGCCCAGCTCGGCCTCCCAAAGTGCTGGGATTACAGGCGTGAACCACCGCGCCCGGCCCATAATTGGAAATGTTTGTACTGTTAGATCTAAGAGTATTTTATGTGGTATAATAAAAGATTAATTTAGTGAACCTCATTAGATAATTAGCTTGGAATATATTATGCACTGCCATGCAGGGGCCTAAGAGAATGGTCCACACGTCTTGCGAAGTTGATATGAAGACAGGCAACAAGACAGTCTAGCTGAGTAAAAGTCTGTAGACATCTCTAGGGAGGAGTGGTTAGAGAATGCCCTGACGGTGGATAGCTGGCATATTTTACCCCAGAAAGAAGAGCACAGAGTGGCAGAGAGTACTTGAGATTTAAATAAGAAAAGAGGATGAAAAAATTACTTTCACTAATTATATATTTTCTCAAGAATGGACTTATTCTCTATTTTCTATTGCCTCTTGAGAAATCATTATTTTGCATTCAGTCAACATAATTATTAAGACTAATTGTGGAGGGTGTTCAAAATGGAAAAACAGCGGTCCCTAGGATTATATTGTATTTATGAATGATCACTCATTTGTAACTTTTCCTTCAGTTAGATGTTTTTTAATGCAAAAATACCTTTTAAGCACCAGTACAATTTGTGAAACGAAATGTGAAATTGAGGCATATATGTAATTTTATGTGTAAAATATTCCCTTTTTTTCTGTTAATGAAGTATGTTTAACATGAGATATATCCTCTTAATAAATTTTTAACTGCTCAATAGAATCTTGTTAACTATAGGTGCTCTGTTGACAGCAGATCTCTAGAACTTATTCATCTGTTATAACTGAATTTTATACCCATTGAACAGCTACCCCAATTTCCCCTCCTTCCAGACCCTGGCAACCAGTATTCTACTCTATTTCTAGGAGTTTAACTATTTTAGATATCTTATGTAAGTGGAATCAGGCAGTATTAAAACATACTTTCAATTAGTAATGACTATAATTCGGATAATTTAAATAAGAGAAAGCAAACATCACTACTACTAGCTTTTGGGGGAAAATATTACAAATAGGGATATTGTGATAAAAGTGTACAATATTTTTTATATTTGTGCACTTAGATCCGTGTTCAAACTTTGCCACCTATACATGTATAGCACATTTGAATATGTGCTACAGTATGCCATTTATAAAGACTGAAAATAACATTTTATAAAATATTATTATTTATTTGGCAACCTCATGAGCTTTGGCTTCAAAAATACCTGATTTACAAAGCATAATCCTAGTGCTGGAGAACAGATCAGTGGCTGCCAAAGGTTAGGGTTGGTTGGAAGATGTGATTAGTGAGGGATAACATGAAAACATGTACTTTCTTTGTGGTGATAGAGCAGTTCTGCATCCAGATTATGGTGATGGTTACATAAATCCGCACTTCATAGATCTATACACACACATCACACATACACTCACACACACCTACACAAGAGTACATGTAAAATCCTTAGAAATATGAATAGGGTCTGAACCTAAGTTAATGGTATGGAAACAATGTCAATTTCCTGATTTTGGCAACATACTAGGTTAAGTTAGATATAATTATTGGGGAAAGTTGGCTGAAAATAACACGGTCATTCTTTTTACTATTTTTTAACTTCTTGTGAGTCAAATTATTTAAAAATAATTGGTATTAAACAAAGACAAAAAATCTAAAATTTCTAAAATCAAAGCCTTTATGAATTTGAACATATTATTTGATTTCTTTTGTAGACCTTGATTTCTTCACCTGTAAAAATGGAATGATAGTAGAATTTCTATCTCATTATTGTCATGCTTAAACCATACCATTTATGTAAGTGCCCAGTACCGTGTCTGGTGAACAATAATGCTTAAACACTGAGTTCCCCACTTTTTTGTGGCTGTTGGTTTACAGGTGGTTTTTAAGTTCCTAAGTGGAAGTTTGTTTAAAAAGAGGCAGTCAAAATAAACAGCAATGTCTCAGAGCATCATCTGAACAAGAAAGGAAGGTGTTCTCCATCCCTTGAAGTGGTCTCAGTCCTCTTTTATTGTTTAGCTCTCATGTGAGTCTTCACAAATAACCTCAAGAATTGCTACAACACCAACAGAGAATTAACTCTCATTGAGTTTTTAGCTCAGTAGATTCTGGGTCCTAAAATTTATGGACTCACCTGCTTTTTAAATCTTTCCCATTTAGAAATATTCAATTTAAATCTTCCTTCAGTAAGTAATTGTTAACTATTAACAATCCTAACATTATAATAAAGTCAGAAGTAACATTTATTACTTTTGTTTTCCACTCATACTGTTTGCAGTCCATAAGCATACAGCATTTTGGTCTTTCCAAATATCTAAAGGAAGATAATCAAAATCAAAACTAAGAAATCCTACTCTGAAGTCATATCTCTCTAACTAGATTGTATATTTATTGAGGGTGATGACTATATTTTCTTTTCCAGAAAAATAAAACAAATACAAGGTTGGGACGAATTGAATTCAGTGGGGGATGGAGAGGGGAAGGAGTCAAGGTTCTTCATCCTTTTCCATGCTTTGATAACTTTATCTATGAGATCCTAGTTAAAAGAACATGACTATCTAAAGAAGTAAGTGCTTGAAAGGCCCACTGTATTAGGAGATTGGGAATTGTTAGCTTGAAAAGACATAAATGGAAAGAAAACATAATACAGAGACAAAATACATGAAATTTGTATTGTGGTACACATGTGCTTTGTGATCATATTTCTGTGTCATAAACAAAAAAAAAAAGTATAAAGCTTAACCAAGAGAAATTTAGGGCACATAGAAGCATTTACGTGTTTTCATACTATGAGCTGGGGCTAAGGTGTCCTTTACCATGACAGTTGGTGAAGCATAAGAACAAATCAATTCACAAATGTTCTGGTAAATTCCAATTTCCACATCTTAAATCATAGACCTAAGTCAGTCAAAGTCAGTCATATATATAGATATATGTGTGTGTGTATATATATATATATATATACAGGCACCTACTTAAGTGATATGATTTAAGCATGGCAATAATGAGATAGGAATCATACTATTATTCCATTTTTACAGGTGAAGAAATCAAGGTCTACAAAAGAAATCAAATAATATGTCCAAATTCATATGGGCTTTGATTTTTGAACTTTCAAATTTTTGTCTTTGCTTAATACCTTTTGTTTTAAAATAATTTGACTCATAAGAAGTTAAAAAAAGAAGTAAAATGAATGACCATGCTATTTTCAGGCAACTTTCCCCAATGATTATATCTAACTTAACCTAGTACATTGCCAAAATCAGGAAATTGACATTGTTTCCATACCATTAACTTAGGTTCAGACCCTATTCATATTTCTAAGGATTTTACATGTACAGATGTGTTTGAATGTATGTGTGATGTGTGTGTATAGATCTATGAAGTGTGGATTTATGTAACCATTACCATTATCTGGATGCAGAACTGCTCTATCACCACAAACAAAGTACACGTTTTCACGTTATCCCTCACTAATCACATCTTCCAGCCAACCCTAACCCTTGGCAGCTACTGTTCTGTTCTCCAGCACTGGGATTATGCTATGTAATTCAGGTATTTTTGAAACCAAGCTTATGAGGTTGCTAAATAAATAATAATGTTTATAAACTATTATTTTCAGCCTTTATAAATGGCATACTGTAGCACATATTCCAATGTGCTATACATGTATAGGTGAGCCAAAGTTTGAACATGGATCTAAGTGCACAAACATAAAAAATATTGTATGCTTTTATCATAATATCTCTATTTGTAATCTTTTTCCCCAAATACTAGTAGTAGTGATGTTTGCTTTCTCTTATTTAAACTATCAGAATCTTTAAACTTTCTCTTATTTAAACTATAGTCATTACTAATTGAAAGTATGTTTGAATACTGCCTGATTCCACTTACACAAGATAGATATACATATCAGTCATATCTATGTGTGTGTATATATTTATATATATGTCAGTCATATATATGTGTGTGTATATATTTATATATATGTCAGTCATATATATGTGTGTATATATTTATATATATCACATACACACATATATAGATGGAGTTAGGTCTATGATCTCTGTATATATTTATATACACACATGTATTTTTAAACTATTACATGAAGCAAATAGTACAGTTGATTTCATATAACAAGAGTTATTGGATTTATATGGGCAAAAGTTAATGCATAGGGGCAAATAAATTGATGAACTTACAGACTCATTTATTTGACATATATTTATTGTGTGGTCTCTATTGAATGCTGGGTATCTTCCAGGAGCCTAAAATTCAGCAGTGAATGTAACAGGCTCAAATCCTTGTACTCAAGTAGCTAATATTCTAATCGAGGGAGAAGACAATAAACAAAGTTAATAAGCAAAATATTCAACATACTAGTTGATAGGAAGCTCTGTGGTGAAAAATAAAGTAAGAGGAAAAGAATGAGAGGAAGCTCTAAAAGCAACTGAAGATTTACATGAAGAAGCTGCCCAGGCGTTGGCCCAGAGTGAGAGGAAGCGCCATGAGTTCAACAGGCAGGTCCCAGTTCAGTGGAAAGAAAAGGATTTCCAGGGCATGTTGGAGTGCCGCAAAGAGGGCGAGGCCCTCCTCATCCTCAACCTGGTGACAGACTTGAAGCCCCAGATGCTGTTGGACACAGTGCCCTGTCTCTCCGCCTACATCCTCTACATGTGCATTCGGCTCGCGGACCAAACCAACGATGATCTCAAGGTGCACTCCCTGATGACCTCCACCACCAACGGCATTAAGAAAGTCCTGAAGAAGCACAGTGATGACTTTGAGATGACGTCATTCCTGTTATCCAACACCTGCCACCTTCTTCACTGTCTGAAGCGGTACAGCGGGGATGAGGGCTTCATGACTCAGAATACAGCAAAGCACAACGAACACTGCCTTAAGAACTTTGACCTCACCGAATACCGTCAGGTACTGAGCGACCTTTCCATTCAGATCTACCAGCAGCTCTTTAAAATTGCCGAGGGTGTGTTACAGCCGATGATAGTTTCTGCCATGTTGGAAAATGACAGCATTCAGGGTCTATCTGGTGTGAAGCCCACTGGCTCCCAGAAGCACTCCTCCAGCATGGCAGATGGGGATAACTCATACCGCCTGGAAGCTATCATCCGCCAGATGAATGCCTTTCATACAGTCATGTGTGACCAGGGCTTGGACCCTGAGATCATCCTGCAGGTATTCAAACAGCTCTTCTACATGATCAACGCAGTGACTCTTAATGACCTGCTCCTGCGGAAGGACGTCTGCTCTTGGAGCACAGGCATGCAACTCAGGTACAATATAAGTCAGCTTGAGGAGTGGCTTTGGGGAAGAAACCTTCACCAGAGTGGAGTAGTTCAGACCATGGAACCTCTGATCCAAGCAGCCCAGCTCCTGCAATTAAAGAAGAAAACCCAGGAGGATGCAGAGGCCATCTGCTCCCTGTGTGCCTCTCTCAGCACCCAGCAGATTGTCAAAATTTTAAACCTTTAGCCTCCCCTGAATGAATTTGAAGAACAGGTAACAGTGGCCTTTATACAAATGATCCAGGCACAACTACAAGAGCAGAATGGCCCTCAGCAACTGCTATTAGATGCCAAGCAAATGTTTCCTGTTTTGTTTCCATTTCATCCATCTTCCCTAACCATGGAGTCAATCCCAGCATGTCTCAATCTGGAGTTCCTCAATGAAGTAGACGCATGTTTAGTCTGATTCCCAATGTGAGCAAAAAGGAAGTATAGACAGTAAAGTAAATTCAAGGATCTGTTAAATCTGGTAAAAGTAGATCAAATCAGAGATTGACAGCCTGTGGAGGGTGCCTGAACTATACAGAATTAACACAACTATGGCGTTATTTTTTGTACATACTGCTCAGAATAAAAACACTTGAAATGTGGAAGATTTTAAGTTTGATTTCAGTCCAACAAATATACATAATAATTTATAGACACCAAGCAGTCCCCATAGCCATATAAAAGATGCCAATTCTATAAAATGAAGCTGCCGAGTTTTAATCTTTGCATATAACTGGAGAATGTCCAAATTAAAATACTAACTATATATAAGTCGCATAAATTGCCTTCAAAGGGCTTTTAACAAATAATAGTACTAATAACCATGATAATGACATATACTGACACTTCCCAAAGTTTGCAAACCATAGGTGTGGTAGAGTTTGTGGTGAGATGTGTTAAGAACAAAAATATGGGGATGAGACTTCTGAGAAATGTCCCCAAAATATTCTTTAATGGCTGATTATACAAAGACAGCAGTGTAACTGACCTCCAAACCAGACATTTTGAGTACTGGTTTCTGAAGCAAAATTAGAAGTCCCAGTCCTCAGTGTCCTCAAACGCTTTTGTGTAATCTTGGTTTAATGGAAGAGATGATTAAAATGCTGCTATCTGAAATTCCAAGTGAGAAAGATGGAAAAATAATTTGTGTCTGATGCTAGTCCATACACTTTCCAAGTCCCACAAAACTCTCACAAAAATGTATATAAGCTAAATATTACAAAATGATAACAACTTGTTTTATTTATAGATGTAAAAAACAATGTGAAAGCTTTTAATCTCTTAATACCATTAAGCCTCCAGTAAGAGCCTCATATAATGCTCTACTATTCCAAACAACTAAATAGTAAAACAAACTAACTTTGCACATCAGATTATCTGAAAAACCTTCAAAAATACTCAGTTCAGGGATTACTATTATACAAAAGTCTGGGGTTTTTTTAAGAGAATAAAATGGCTTAGGTCAACTTTCCCCTTTCAGGTTATTTTCAAAGTTTTTCAAACGTTGTAATTCAAAATTGTAAATATCTCTCCTATGAAATAAGGATTTTAAAAATGAGTAATTCAGTAATATAACAGACGTAGATGTTTGCTGCTCTTAGAATTTTTTGTTCGTTTGTTTTTGGGCTCTTCAAAAGCAAGCATTCAGTTAGAAACCCATATTATTCTTTCCACACTTTTTTATTATACTTAAAGTTCTAGGGTACATGTGCACAATGTGCAGGTTTGTTGCATATGTATACATGTGCCATGTTGGTTTGCTGCACCCACTAACTCGTCTTTTCCATTAGGTATATCTCCTAATGCTATCCCTCCCCCCTCCCCCCACCACACAGCAGGCCCTGGTGTGTGATGTTCGCCTTCCTGTGTCCAAGTGTTCTCATTGTTCAATTCCCACCTATGAGTGAGAACATGCGGCGTTTGGTTTTTTGTCCTTGCAATAGTTTGCTGAGAATGATGGTTTCCAGCTTCATCCACGTCCCTACAAAGGACATGAGCTCATCATTTTTTATGGCTGCATGGTATTCCATATTCTTTCCACACATTTTTTTTACTGTCTTTTCCCTATTTCTTGATAGCAGTATGCTGTTTCCATGATAAGAACAAATAGTGTTTGCCAATCATAGAAGAACAGCCTCTGTATTACATTGAGAAAATGAGATTTATCCATGGATTGGAAGTAGAACAGCCTGCCTCCACCCTCCTTTACTCAACCACCCAACTTAAAAGGCTCTAGGAAACACAGCACACTCCAAGCTACCTTCTGTACTGTGCCCTTAGACCTCAGCTTCCTCAGTCATTCTCTGCATCTCCTGGGGCTTAACCCAGTCTTAGCCTGTGTTGAGGCTGCTGACAGTTGTGTTCCAATCATTTGCCATGGACATTATCCCTTCTACATCCACATTAAACATGCCAGCTTCTCTTGGGTGTCTGCAGAGCTGTGCCTTTTTCTTTCAGTGACAGTTACATAATCACTGACGTCCATGACACTCACACATGGATCCATGTGCTGACTTCATTTAGAAGGCCAATCTAAAACAACTGGGTTTGTGGCTACCTCTTTAAAGTTGTTTGTGAAGTATAATTTGCTTTTTGATGTACTTTAGTTTGAAACTGAGTCCCTTATGTAAGGACTGTCCTTAATCTTAAAAGACCAAAAATGCCTTGTTAGAGTGTTAAGGAGTTTTGACATGCAGTGGTTCCACAAATACAGTGGCTTACTGTCCTTATATACTGTCTTACACCATCGTTCTCTCCATCTCTCTTGGTCACTACAGTGGTGAGATCAAAACCCCAAGTGAGGCCCCAGAGTGGCGTGAGGACCCCAGTGCTCTTGCTGATCTGAAACAGGCTGCTCTTCTCCTGCTTGCATGGCTTGTCTCCAATGGAAGGCCTCAGGATCTTGGTGATGACCACAATAGTGATGGTTATGTTCACCACCACAATGATCAGTGCTGGGATGGCAAAAGCCAGCAGGGCCTTGGTGTCCTCCCAGTTGAGCCAACAGACATTCTTCCTCATATAGACTTCCCAGGGCTGGGTGGCTCCCAGCATGATGACCAAGATGGCAGGTAGGGCAGCCGTAGCCAAGACAGAAGGCAATGGCTTTCTGAGTGGACCTGCTTGTTTCGTGCAGAATGAAAACCAGGCGATAGAACAACATGAGGCCCAGTGTCAGCATCCAGAAGAAGATGCTGAGGTAGAAGAAGTGGATGAAGAAGGTGGCAGCCACACAGGCTGTCTTGCAGAGTATGTAGTGATTGTCCTGGATGGCAGCGACCACAATGAACCAGGTGTTGGCGACCAGAAGGGAGGCAGCAACATTCACTATGCAGATGTGGCGCATATAGGAAGTCTGGTTCTTGGTCACTGATTTCCACACCACAGTTTCCACAACTAGACAGGCCGCCAAGCTGAAGATGGAAAAGCCCACCCCAACATAAGAAATAATATCCAGTAGTATTCCCAGGAGAGAACCAGGATCTGGGGAGTCAGGGGACTTGAGAATGGAGAATGATGTTAGGTAGTCACAGATACAGGTGACATTGTCCCCATCACCTTCTTCAACATAGCACCCACTGCTGTCCCACCCCCCGTGTTGTTGGAAAGCCTGAAGTTCCAGAAGACACATGTTGTTTCGCCGCCTGAAGGGCTGTTGTTCTTAAAAGTCATTGAAATGCTGAATGGCATAGTCACATTATGGCTGACAGTGGTCGTCATCACTAAGCTCTCTGCAAAATTATTTTCCTGGATACCCTGGGCAAGGATGGCTTGGAGAGTTGGGAAAGCCATGGTGACAATAGGTGAATCTGATGGCAAGTTTTCTAGATAGCTCTTGTCAATGACCACATTGCCCCAGAGGTCAAAGTATGGGAAAACAAACCTCTGTTGATAGGTTTTTGGGTGGCTGGACATGATTACCATGCTGCTCATCTGCACATTAGTTTGGGAGAAGGACAAAGGAGGGCTATCTCCTAATTGTAGTGCTTGGGAAAACCTTCCCACTGAATGTAGTAGCTGTGAACTCTGCTTGGTCCGTTGCTGTTGTAAAACCTTCCAGGTGTTCAAGACGGGCTTCCCAAGGATGACATTAACCGTAGAGAGCACGTGCTGAAAGTGAAATGGTATGGGGTCAAACTAACCAAATTCTTTCAATCATAAAAAAGAAAAAAACAACATCTTCCTAGAAACTGATTGCATAAAGGTAAGAGGAAACGAGAAAACAAAACTGAGACATCACAGGCAGTGGGGATGTATGACCTTCTTATGGCAGAGTTTAGCAGAGGATGGGTCCCCAAGACTGAAAGATGTCAGTAAGCACTTAGCAATGGTGACAGTGAGAGTCACACCCACTACACACCCTACTCTCTAAGGTCAATTCAGCAGGCTGGCAGGGATGTTTACTATTTTATTTTATTTATTTTATTTTAAATCTTAAGCCTGTATTTTTAGTAGAGGTGGGGTTTCATCATGTTGGCCAGGCTGGTCTTGAACTCCTGACCTCCTTGAACTCCTGTAATCCCAGCTACTTGGGAGGCTGAAGCAGGAGAATCGCTTGAACCTGGGAGGTGGAGATACATTTTTCCTGCTGCCCACTCTTCACCCTGCTGCAGTCCCCTTTCTCCTGAGCACATGTCTGGTTATAGCTCTGGCCTTCCAAGACTATAGCTCCTGCTGACTGGTGACTTACAGGTGTGCATATCTCGTGACCTCTGGAATAATGGCTGGCAGTCTTTTATGTCTACACCTTTGCAGAATTCAGGCTCCTCTCCTCCCAGCCTGGTGGTCTCTCATTAGCTTTATAAAGGTGGTTGGGTTTTGGAGAAGGACTATTATTATTTAAACTGTAAACTACATGTCTCCCAAAGCTAGCCCATCCTAAGCCCAGTAATAATTAAGGCAACATGAAGGTAAAATATAAGAGGGAAGTTGGCTATATTAGATCTTCCCCACTGCCATAATTTCCTCACTGTTATAATTATTGCAAATGCAGTTTCAATATGAGTTGTTTTTCAATTCAACCTCTGGCTTTCTAATTAAAAATGATTAGTTAAACACACGTGCATCTTCTTCCTATTCTACCAACATCCTATTGAAATGACCATGTGATGGACAAAAGAGAAGATATGTGTCCATGCTGAGAACAGGATGCAAAACCTTCAGCACCCTAGAGGGCAGGAGGAGATGGGAACACATTGGGATGTGTAGCCCGAACGATGCAAAGAACAGAGTTGAGGGTGAGATGGAAACCCCTCACAAAAGAAAGATTAAAACAAATCTAGAATCCCAGGCACGCGCCTCACAAGCAACTGCAGTGCTATTAAAACAAACCTAGAATCCCAGGCACTCATCACAAGCAACTGCAGTGCTATTAAAGGGCTGTTTATGGATCAGCTGGGCCAGTCAGCTTCCCTTCCTCCCATCCTGCAACTCCTGGCAGTAGCTGGCAGCAGTTATTTAAAGGAGACCAGCCAAGCCGGTTCCTGAGTGAGTCCAACCACAGTCAGCCCAGGGCCAGCCTTGTGGCTCCCAATCTATGGTACTGAGGGTCACGTTCATTAATTACATTTCCAATGAAACAATAATTGTCTTTAGTAAACTACAGAAGCATAAGTAGAAACAATATTGTAGTAAATGTCTCATATCATTACTTCTGCCAGAAATACCTCTGCCCTTGAATTTTCAAAAGATATTTGCTGCACCCTTTTCTGAAATATACTTTTATAATCTCGATTCCTTCAAAAACCTGATTATTTATTTATTTATTTATTTATTTATTTATTTATTTATTGTATTTGAGACACAGTCTCGTTCTGTCACCCAGGCTGGAGTGCAATGGTGCCATCTCTCCTCACTGCAACCTCTGCCTCCCAGGTTCAAGAGATTCTCCTGCCTCAGCCTCCAGAGTAGCTGGGATTGCAGGCGCCCGCCATCACACCTGGATAATTCTGGTACTTTTAGTAGAGACAGGGTTTCACTATGTTGGCCAGGCTGGTCTCGAACTCGTGACCTCAAGTGATCACCAGCCACAGCCTCCCACAGTGTTGGGATTACAGGCGTGAGCCACCTCGCCTGGACCAAAAACCTAACTTTAATTATTTCCCTAGCCACTACACGGATTATTTTATTTAGTGCTTTTTTACACCATTACATATACATATAAGGAAAACTGGCATCTTTTACATATTTATTTATTTTTATCCTGTTTTCCTCTAAAAACTATTAAGGCAACTTCCAAAATATATTCTACATAATGAGATTAATAAACAAGCAAAATAAATCAGTAAGAAAATCTAGTTTGGATTGTTATGGGTTAAAAAATGAATACACAAAATATAACATGATATTTGGTCTAATATAGGCTTCCCGTGCCCTCCCCCAACCCCCCGCCACCGCCCCCAACCCCCGCCGGAGAGGACACGGATGCCCGGGTCTGAAGCCATGGCTGGGCAGCTGCCCTTGCGCCTGGGACTGCAGGGTCCCCTCCCCACCAGCTCAGAAGCCGGCAGGGCTCTTTCCTTCCTGTTCTCAGCTCCCGCCGGCTCCACAAAGCGCGCGGCCCTGCGGCGCCTCCCCTGCTGCAGCCGGCATCTTGGCAGCAGCCTCTCCAGATGGGCCGCTGCCATCAACACCACCCAAACCAGTAATGTGGCTCAACCAGTTCTGCCATCCCACCCAGGAACAGAAGGTAGCAAGAAAACCTCACTTTGATCCCCCTGTGATTCCATCTCCAACCTGACCAATCAGCACTCCCCACTTCCTGAGACCATGCCATATTATCCTTAAAATCTCTGATCCCCAAACGCTCGGGGAGACTGATTTGAGCAATAATAAAACTCCAGTCTCCCGCCCAGCTGGCTCTGCAAGAATGACTCTTTCTCTATTGCAATTCCCCTGTCTTGATAAATCAGCTCTGTCTAGGCAGCGGGCAAAGGGAACTTGTTGGGCGGCTGTGTGTGTGTGTGTGTATATATATACATATATGTGTGTGTGTATATATATGTATATATCTATATGTATATATACATTATATACGTGTATATATACGTATATACACGTATATACGTGTATATATATATAAAAGAACTCACATACATAAATATATGTAATATTTGCAACTGGAAGTAGAACAGGACCTCCTAATGCAGAGACGAGCTCCTGTAGCATCAGGATGACTCCCTGCCAGGTGGAGATTCCGTTGTGGTCATACTATTGAGGGGGCCCCACCTGAACACCAGTCCTCACCCCTGATTCAGCCATTCCACAGATATTTATTCAGATGTTCCAGGAACTATTCTAAGGGCATCAAGTGCTGTTCTTGTCACAGGCAAAGAAAGCCCCAAAGGGAAGGTGTCTCTTCCGGCGGTGCCTGCCCCACCTCCAAGCCTGGCACCTTTCAAAATTTATCTTAGGACATTTCCGACAGGTGTTGCTCTTCTTCAGCTTTGTCCTGGCATAATTTTGTCTCCCAGGAGGCTTCATTTTCTTCCTTCATTGATCCTACATGTGCTGTAGCTAACAGGAATTCCTCAGAGCTCGTAGCCTTTGGATAGCGTGGTTTCACGGTTGTCAACACTGATATGTTTATCTATACTTTGAGCTTCGTGTAGTTTTCATTAGGATTTTGTGAAATGCACAGGATGATGTAGGCTAGAATGATAGGTTCAATTAGCTATGTTCCTTGATGATTTCACAGTAAGTTATATTTAAATAACCAAACTATTCAGATTTATGCTTCTATGATAAGAGATTTCAGTATTTTTGAATCAAACCATTTTAAGGGTTTTTTTTTTAATGAAACTTATTTACTTAAAATGATTACATAACTCTCCCCTTGCATGCCACATTTTAGGCAAAATTAAGAGCATATTCCTAAAACCCAGCTTACTAAATTGCTTCTCTTGATAGCTTTTTTTTTTTTAAGCCCAGGAAGAATTTCTAATGGGAAGCTTTAATTGTAGTGAGTTATGTACTAGCCAAGGAAGGCAATAAATTGAATATATGCTGTTTAATTTTGTTGTTGTTTGTTTGGCTGGAGAACACTACAGTTTTATTTCTATTCATAAACCAGTGCTTCCCAACCAGGGCTGTTTTTGCCTCCAGGGAAGAAAATGTCTGGAGACATCTTGGGTTGTCAAAACTGGGGGTTGCTACTGGCACTTAATGAGTACAGGCTATGGATGCTGCTAAGCATGCCATCGTGCACAGAACAGCCTGTACCCTCTCTTCTCCTCTGCAAGAAGAATTAAAAATTATCTGACTCAAAAGGTTAATACTGCTAAGATTAAGAAACCCTGCCATCGACCAGTGGAAGTAAAAATTGTAAGGATTTATTATTTCAAATCTATACAGCTTTACCTCATGAGTTTTACTTTTTCTAATTCTCTTTAGGGAAGTTTCTCTTCCCTCTCATTTTGCAAACCAAGTTGTGATTTTTGGCTTGAACTACTCTACCCCACAGCCCAGCTTCTGCGCTTTAAGATGTTGTGGATATGGGCTCCATGCTTGCAGTGGCGAAATTCGAGGCCTGTCACATGTCCTGCTACCCCAGACCACTCCATCACATGACCTGTGCATACACCTTACATCATTCTGAAATGCCCTTCACATATGCCCTCTTCCAGAATATAAAACATCTTCCTTGCATAAATACTTCCAAGGAAAAGCTGGCCACACTCTGACTACTTAAACTCCTTGAAGTTTTGTTCTATGAAAAACATAAATGGTGGTTCAGCTGGCAGCATCCTCAGTAACAATCTTGATATTTTCTATCCTCTAATTTTCTCCATCTGTTTGAGAGAACACACTTTGGGTTATCTAGGGCCTATGCCAAAGGAGGCATTGTGGATAAGTGTGGCTCAGCCTTCCTCAACAAAAAATTACCTTTCAATTCAGGGCAGAAGCTTATGATATTAAAACTCATGTGGTTCCTCGAGAATCTCCTCCATACACTTTCCTTGTGAGCCAGGGGTGAGGGTAACTGGCAAAGCAATCAGGTCTTGGTGCCAACAAAATCCCATTTCATCCCTGAAATACAAGGCCCATCAGGACGTGACATCTGTCTGTATTACTTCCTACTATATAATCCCCAGTAACTAGAACAAAGCAGTTAAACAATATTCAACAGTCAGAAATATATTTATCATATGCTGCTAAAAATACCCTCCATTTTCTAGCTCTCTAATCAGTTAACATGTGCACATTTAAACTACATCACAGCATTGGATTTGTTCTATCTGTCTGTATGGATACAATTATGCTGCTGACAATTTAGTCAAGTGTTTCATCTCTATGTAGACAACTGTCATGTAAGAATTAATGAGAATTTCCTAACATCATGGTGGCAACTGGCAGCTATTGCTCTGAACATTTCTAGCTCTGAAAAATTTTAGGCCAACATGTTTACAGTAATGTTTTAGTTTAAAGAGCTTGGAAATGGGGTTTCCTGGAATGTATTGGAATAAATCATGTATTTTATTCCCAGTTTTGGGAGATATCTGCTTTCCTTACGTTCCCCAGGCTACCACCATCCAAAAGCAGAAAAGCCATTTAGGGAACCAAGAGTTTTAGTCAAGCTATTTAACTGTCATCAGAAATAAAGAAAACAAATCACCTCTACAGCCTTCTGGGTTAATTTTTATAAGGTAGTTTGTCTTCATTCAGTAGAAAAGAATAATCTTAACTTCAGGTCATTGGCAGGTCAATAAAAGCTCTAAAGCTAAATTTTCACCAAAATCTCAGTTGAGATAAGTAATATTTAAGGATTATTTGGAAGAATAGGCTCCATTGATTTCTGTAATAACCAAAGATTTAATACTGGATTAATCCAAACCATCGTATAACTCCATACTCAAGCCATACTGTCTTGATTGCCCAAGAAATTGCTTTTAAGAAATTGTCATATATTTATTGTCCAAAACGTGTTTATTATAGGGTTATTGTTGAGGACAATGTCCCCTTTATCGCTTGGTGACTCCAATTAAAGGCCCCAACAAACATTGCTCTCAGACTTGATTTTGACAACAAAACCTCTCACATAAAATACTGAAAGTATGAATGTTAGAATTCTTTTTTATTTCCTGGAAGCTGAGATACAAAAATGGAACCAAAATTCAGTGATGTAGATCTTTATCATATCTTGCGTGGTCCTCTGAAATAGGAAGAAAACATTAAATTTTAACTTTTGACTTTAGGGTAAAAAATCACTTTTATACAAATCAAAAGCAAACAAGAAAACAACCCCATACAAATTATAAAGATAAAGGCTGACAAAGTTGACCATAATAAAATAAAATTTCTGTGCAACAAGACACTAGGAATAAGTTTGTAAGAAAAGCTAGTGGGAACAAAAAGATATTTATAACATTATTGAAGATATAAAGATTGATATCCAAAATAAAAACCTCTTATTATAGAGGAAAGAAAAAGTAAATGAAAGTACAAACAGATTAAGAAGAGAAAACATGGCCGGGCGCGGTGGCTCACCCCTGTAATCCCAGCACTCTGGGAGTCTGAGGCAGACGGATCACGAGGTCAGGAGTTTGAGACCAGCCTGGCCAACATGGTGAAACCCCGTCTCTACTAAAAATACAAAAATTAGCTGGGTGTGGTGGGGGGGCATCTGTAGCCCCAGCTACTCAGGAGGCTGAGGCAGGAGAATCACTTGAACCCAGGAGGCAGAGGTTGCAGTGAGCTGAGATCATGCCACTGCACTCCAGCGTGGGCAACAGAGCAAGATTCCATCTCAAAAAACAGAAAAAAGAGAGAGAGAAAACATTAATGACTAACAAATGTATCTGAAGATTCTCAGACTCATTAGTAGTCAAATGTACATTATAGCAATGATGAGAGTGCAATTCTCTTTATCTGAACTGGTAAACATAAAAAAGTCAGCCAAAATCAAGCATTACTGAAGTGATGATAAAGGAGTTATCTGGTGATGCTGGTGGGAAGATACAGCGGCTGTGAGAGGTGATTCTACAACATGACTTACAGGCGAGTACTCATGCGCACCCTCTGCCCCAACAACCTGACAGCTCTTCCCCTGCCATCTTCCATGGTCCACACAAACATGCATGAGTGTGTCCTGGGCAGCTGCACCCTCACCTTTGTGCATCACAGCAGGGTCCATCTGCTCTGGGTCCTTATGACATGACACTATTCTCAGTGTCCTGGTATGTTCCCGACACTGTACAATGGCTCCAATCAGCCCTACTCCTGCCTGGAACAAAGAGAAACTTTGGTTATATAGTGTGTATTTGCATAAAGACCGTTTTCAAAGAGCAAGAAGAATATAAAAGAAATAAATTTGTGCCTGTATATAGACTCCCTAAAGCTGTCTCTGGCCTCCAGTTTAAAAACATCTAGAATCTAGCCAGGCCCTTGCCTTTCCTTGAAGCACACTTATCTGCCTAGAATTAGGTGTAAATAATTTTGTTCTATTTCCCACCCCACGATTCTGAAGAACTGGCTCAAATGTACCCAAACTCTGGTACACATTTGTCAATGCTGCCTCTTACAGGACAAAAAAAACTGAGTATTTTCTTTCAGACCCTCATACACTTTCCACATTGAAAATGTGGGATATTCTGTATTTCCACAAGCAGTTCTTTCTCTCTTCCCTGTCTCTCTCCTATTGTTCTTGAAACCCCTACTCTCTCACTCTGTGATTTGTCTAAATATAATAAAGATATAGGTACAAAAAATATTTTACTTTCCTCTTAATTCTACTATGAGAAGAAAGCATTAAGTTCAATGATAAAGGGCAGCTGGTAATTGAACTTAGGTGTAGGCAGAAAGACACTGGTAGGGATGAGGCAAACAAGAAAGTCTGTTTTCCATGTAAAGGGTGAAACAGTTTCTCAGCAATTGCTGAGATCAAGGATAAGCCCTACAAGTTTGGGCAGGAAAGAGGACTCTTATTACTCTGAGGGAATGCAGAAATCCCTCCGTTTTGTTGTTGTTTGTTTTCTCTGAGCCCTTGTGATCTGGCCCCCAAGAATTCCTGTGTTGGCAGCAGTAGGTGGTGCCTAGGAGAAACAAAACCCTGAGGCCAGGGCATCTTCCTCTCCAGTTGGTGCAGTAGTGATCCCAAGAGGGTGATGCAAACTTTTTAAAGTCTTTTCTCATTTTGCCACCTGTCACCTGGCTCCAAACATGGGTGCAGCCATGAAACACTGTAGCAGAGTACCGTAATCAAAGACCCAGCATTCTGGCCAGAAAACAGAAAAGAGGAGCTCCAGGAAAACAGAAAATATTGGAGACATTGTGGAGAGGAAGGAGTATGAGAAAGTGACACCATAAAGTTTTTAATGAACTGAGCGCATCCCCAAGCTGCATGTGTGTGGATCTGCTCCTAATTAGTTAACCAAAGATTTTGAGAACGAAGCTAGCAGATTATTATCCGAGTTCCACACTGACCACCAGGACATATCTGAAGCAAACTGGAAAGGTTTTGAAAACTCGATTATTGGAACCACAGCTCACAAAACAGAGATTGGAACTTGCAGCTTGAATATGACAAGGTCAATTGCTTCTAAAACAAAAATAGCATCCATCCGCCTAATATTTTATGAAGACCCAGGCCTCAAAACTTAATGTCCATGACGCAATCCAAAATTACAAAAAAAACAGATAAACTGCACCCCACATGAGAAAAGACAATCAGTACTAAGTAGCTACCAATACTGAGAAGAAACAGAAATTTGAATTACATCACAAGGATTTTAAAGCAGCTTTTATAAAAATGTTCCAACAAGTGGTCGCAAACACTTTTTTTCTCTCTTGGGACGGAGTCTCACTCTGTCACCCAGGCTACAGTGCAGTGGTGCAATCTAGGTTCACTGCAACCTCGGCCTCCCGGGTTAAAACGATTCTCCTGTCTCAGCCTACCAATGAGCTGGAACTACAGGCATGCACCACCACGTCCAGCTAATTTTTGTATTTTTAGTAGAGAAGGGGTTTCACCATGTTGGCCAGATGGTCTCGATCTCTTGACCTCATGATCTGCCCGCCTCGGCCTCCCAAAGTGCTGGGATTACAAGCGTGAGCCACCATGCCCGGCCGCAAACACTTTTATACCAATGGAAAACTAGAAGTATCAGAAAATAAATAGACGATGTAAAAAGGAACAAAATGAATATATTAGGACCAAAAAATCCAATAACTGACATACAAAATTCTAAGTAAGCTTTTTATTACAATAAAACTAAAGAGGTAAGAATCTGTTATCGTGAATATAAATCAACAGAAATTATCTAATCTGAACAATAGAGAGAAAGAACGATGAAAAAGTCTTGATTAGAGCCTTAGAGACTTGAGGAACAATAACTAAAGTTCCAACACACATGTCATCTGAGTCTCAGAGGAGAAAAGGAAAAGGAGCGCAGTGCTGAAAGAATTTTGAAAACCTAACAGGAAAAATTACCCAAATTTGGCAAAAGGCAAACACTAATTGAACTAAAAGAAGAAATAACAAATGTACAATTATGTTTAGATAATTCAACACTCCTCTCTCACTAATAATTAGTGAACATTTGAAATTAATTGATGGTAAGTTTGATTAATTCTGAGATTTTTAGCAGTATTGTTTATCACATAGAATTAACAGATTATTTCTGTATAGCAGACAAAAATGCATTCTGAGCCCTATGTAATAGTTCATCACAGAAAATGTTGAGTTAATGCCAGTCAGAATGTCTCTCTTCTTCCAGTACAGGGATTACAAATAATGGCAAGACCTAAGGTCATGTATGCAGTGATGCACTAAGTACCTTAAATAATAGGACATGAGATTGCAAGCACAATGCAGTCACTATGAATGAGAAAATTACGTAAGAGCTCAAGTTCATGTACTGAGGAGGCTTCTGAGAAGCCTTAAAGGATATCTGGCCAATTCAGCTGTTACTGGGTTAGACTATTAATAGTTTTATTGCCTTAACTCTCATCAAAAAAAAGGCTGCTTTGCAGGCTTTTTCTTACTGTGGGCAAGTGATTAACAACACCCCAGCTAGAAAATTCTTCCTGATGTCTGTCCTGTGTCTCTGCTGATCTAACAAGCAAGGGTATACAAGAACTTATCAACTCCATCATCAATTACAAAAAAGATTAAGTTGTCATAATCATAGTATATGATTTAAGGATTTACTAAAATGCAATGGTAGTCAAGCTATCAGAGGATGGAGGAACCTCCGTTTCACCATCTGGTTGTTCCTCTTTGTTCCCTTTAGGTTAGTCTGAGCCAAAAGACCCAACACTAATCACAGTGCTTTGTCCATTGCAGTAGGCATAATTCCTTACAACAACAAATAAAATAATTCCTAAGCATTTATTTCATAAAATAAATGTATTAGATATTTTGGCCTCACAAAAATAAGAGATAGAGTCTACTCAAAACAGTGTTTTGTGTATGATTTTCATAAATTTCAAATTAGAATGTAAAGTTTATCATATCTCTTCCATTTGTTAGGATAGTGTTAGTAATATTTATAAAATCATTTTCTTTCTCCTGTACTTATTTGACATAAAATGCATCATTCTCTGAGAATATAAGATGAAATCATTCCACAGAAGAATTACTTATATTCAGAGTTATTTATGTGTAATAGTACTCCATAAATTCCCTTTGAGGGCCTTGTTCCATTCAGCAAGAAGAATGTCTTGATGGTAGGCAAAATTGTACGTAAGTTAAAAGTATGAAATTTGAATCAAGCTCTGCCATTGAATTGTCACGTGAACCTGGAACAACATAACCTCTCCCTGCCTTAGTTTCTCTATTTATATAATGGTAAGTATAACAAAAGTATACTTCAAGGGCTTTTGCAAGCACTATATGAACCAATAGATCTAACACATTTAGAACGGTAACTTGATATTTTAGGCACCTTGTAAGTTATTGTTATTATCTGCAATTGTATCTACCCAAAAGCTAGAATCCCTCTTCCTGGCCCCCACATTCCTATCACATGTCTATAAATATCTTGTAAATATATTTGTTCATTTTATGCATGCATTTACTTGTATTCTGAACGCCTTTACATGTGCCAGGCATTGTCTAGGTGTTGGAGAAACTAAGACTGACTTGAAGGAGATATTTACTTAAAAGAAATAGCTGTAATGGGTATAATTTGCAGACGGGGAGAACCCTGTGAAAAAGAGAGTAATTAGAAAACTTCATTTTGAATATAAAGAGAAAAAACTTTTCTGAGTTCATAAAAGAATTATTGATATCATCAACAATAAAGAGCATATGCTAATATTTATATTTCCTAACTATTCTACATACCTATATTTATATAGATTTCAGCTAACAACTGGGCCTTGGTTCTACTATGACATTTTGCTAAAAGCATTGATTATATAAGTTTGTGTTATACGCAGTGTTTGCATGAGATAAAACTTTAAGACAAAAAAATCTGCTCCGAAAAGTGCCTTGGTCTTCGTAGCTTATTCAAGACATTTATTTTATATTCTGCAGACTGTGGAACATCTGTTTATTAATGCAGCTTTATGATATGTTGTAAATTGCCTTAACAGAAAATATGAAATTGCACATTCGAGCCCAGATTTTCTTTTCATCCCCTTGTGTTCAGCTTGGCAAAAGGCTGATACTGCCAAAAAAAAGAAAGAAAACTTTGTTCAAAATTGAAGGTAATACTTTCTTAGAGAAATAACTACTAACTAAAGGCAAATACTTGATGAGACTATTTTAATGTATCTATTGTCCTTATTATGTAGGATATAATTTCTTACTTTAACATATGATGATTTTATTTCAAAGCCATTTTGACTGAATGACTTTCAAGGTTATTTTGCAAATCATAATAATTTAAATACTTAAGGAAGCTAGTCAAAAATTTGAAATTAATTGACGGTAAGTTTGATTAATTCTGAGACTTTTAGCTGTATTATTTATCACACAGAAGAGAAGATCATTTCTATATAGCAAACAAAAATGCGTTCTGAGCCATATGTAATAGTCCATCACACAAAATGTTGAGTTAATGCCAGTCAGAATGTCTCTCTTCTTCAAGTACAGGGATAACAAAATAATGGCAAGACCCAAGATCGTGTGCGCGGTGATGCACTAAAATACCTTGAATAATAACAGATGGGGCCGGACGCGGTGGCTCACGCCTGTAATCCCAACACTTTGAGAGGCCGAGACAGGCAGATCATGAAGCCAGGAGATCGAGACCATCCTGGCCAACGTGGTGAAACCCCGTCTCCACTAAAAATACAAAAATTAGCTGGGTGTGGTGGCAGGCGCTTGTAATCCCAGCTACTTGGCAGGCTGAGGCAGGAGGATCGCTTGAACCCAGGAGGCGGAGGTTGCAATGAGCCGAGATCATGCCACTGCAGTCCAGCCTGGGGACAGAGTGAGACTCCGTCTAAAATACTATTACTAATAATAATAATAACACATGAGATTGCAGGCACAATGCAGTCTGTGAATGAGAACATTATGTAAGAGCTCAAGTCCATGTGCTGAGGAAGTCTCTCAGAAGTCTTGAAGGATATCTGGTCAATTCAGCTGTTATTGGGTTAGACTATTAATTGTCTTATTGCCTTAATTCTCATCAAAAAAAGGCTGCTGTGCAGGCTTTTTTACTGTGGGAAAGTGATTAACAACACCCCAGCTAGAAAATTCTTCCCAATGTCTGTCCTGAATCTCTCCTGATCTAACATGGCATATTCTGAGTTCAGCTTCCCTCAATGGAAACAAAGAATTGCTTAAAAGGGAAATTATTCTATGGGTTTTGTTTCCACAACAAAACAGGAGATAATGTGCCCTAT
Organism: Homo sapiens; assembly: GCF_000001405.40. NCBI lineage: Eukaryota > Metazoa > Chordata > Mammalia > Primates > Hominidae > Homo > Homo sapiens. The sequence goes on from NC_000009.12 coordinate 62,874,878, forward strand.
TTTGTAAAACAAATCATTTCATTGAAAACTCTCTTTGAAACCTCTACTCAGAGCTATGTTAAGTTGTTTAGTGACCTCAAGCACCAACACATGGACATTTCACCCATTCCCTACCACTAATAATAGCATTAAAATGTCATTTTGTCTTTAAAAGCAAATATATGCTGAAATTAAAGCCACTTCTTTGTAGATCTTCTGACTATAAAATTCTGGCTAAGTTGATTCATTTATTCTCTGCCTCTTTCTTTCCCTCCCTCCCTTAGTTCAAGCTGTATTGCTGAGCCCTACGAAGGTGCTGTCTTGGGCTGCTGAGTTCTCCTGAGCTGCAGCAGGGACGGGCCAGACTCAGGGCAGGTACTGCCGAATGACAGTGAGCCCTGCTTTCTGGGGGCTCCCTGTTTAATTAGGTGAGGCTGACTTTAGTCACATTATCACACCAGGGAACTGAGGCTCTCAGATTGATGGAAAATAGCAGGAGTCTACAGGATGGTTATATAAAGCGGCAGGACTGAAGGGTGAGGGAAGGCTGCCCTGAGACTTAACTGTTGAGCCTTGCAAGACAGGACAAGGACAGGATCAGCATAAAGAGGTGGGTGGAGGGTGGGTAGAGAATTCTAAGCCAAGGTCAACAGAGTAGTTTTTGTGAAGAGAGGAAGCAGGGAGTGAATGAACAACTGAAAGAGGGCCCACAAGACTGGGATGCCAAGCAAGGGAGAGGAACAATGCCTGGCCCCACACTGGAGGGCACAGTGAACCAGGTTCCACTGGCCAAGAGTCACTCGTGTAGGTGTCTCTGAGCTAGGAGATGTGTACTAATTCCTAACAGGCAAGAGTTTAGGCCGGCATTGGCCATCAGAGAGGATGAAAGAAAAAGTTTGTCTTATTTATGGAGCTAGCATAAGAGGAAGCTAGAGCTTTACTAAATGTGAAAATTTAAGTTGATGTATATTCTACATCCTGAACACCCAGTGACAAACTGATGTTCCAATATCCGTTTATACAGTGTGTGTGTTATCATTACACTGGCAAAATGGATGATATGTTTGCCTTATTTCAAATCACTAAGTTTTGTATTATGGTGATATACTCATACTGCTTTCTTATCAACTCAGAAATCCATTATACAAAATCCATTTTTTATGGCCATCTAAATCCTTTATTCAATACCATCAGCCTGGGACATGTTAATATATTTCTGCTAGACATACCACCCAGACTTGAAATGCACAGGACACTAAGCATATAGTGGTAGCAGCATGTTTTCCTTTAATAAAAAGACATTATTTTGGGAGGCAGTTACAAGAAAATTGAGCAGACAATACAGAGAGTTCCTTAAACCCTCCCTAGCTCATCATGCCTATTATTAAGATATCTTGCATTCGTCTGGTATATTTGTTACAATTAATGAGCCAACATTGATACATTATTATTATTAACTAAAATTAACAGTTTCATTAAGGTGCACTGTTTGTGTTGTACATTCTATGGGTTTGGAAAATGTATAAGGTCATATATCCACCATGACATTTTACAGAATGGTTTCACTGCCCTAAAAATCCCCTGTGCTCCACCTATTGATCCCTCCTTCTCCCCGCAAATCTCTGGCAACAACTGTACTTTTCATTGTCTTCATCATTCTGCCTTTTAAAGAATGTCATATAGTTCGGCTTACACAGTATGTAGTCTTTTCAGATCGGCTTCTTTCACTTAGCGATGGGCATTTAAGGTTTTTTTTTTTCCATGTCTTCTCATAGTTAAATAGTGTGTACCTTTTTATCACTTAATAACATTCTATTGTATGAGTGTACCAGAGTTTGTTTATCCATTCACTTACTGAAGTTGCTTCCACCTTTGGGCAATTATGAATAAAACTCCTATAAACATCAATGTATAGATTTTTGTGTTGACCTCAGTTTTCCATGCCTTTGGTTAAATGCCAAGACACAATTACTGGATCTTACAGTGACAGTATACTTAGTTTTGTGAGAAACCACTTCCCTTCTAAAGTGGCTGTATGGGGCTGTATGGGAAATATTTGAATTAACATCCAAATCACACAATCTTTTTGTTACACTTTAAGCATTAAGAGATTTGTTGTCATAGTTACCTTGGGAGTTAATTGCTTCTGAGGAGTTGACAAGGGCTCTCGGTAATGTGGTGCATATTAACACAGGTTATATTAATGAATAAACAATGCATGAACTATGAAATGTAAGACCATGCAGAGTATATTATTAATAAATAAATAATGATTATGTACTACGTATTTACCTTTTGACAGAGAGGTGCACAACAAAAACAAATGTTGATATTCTTGAAAATTTTGAAGTCAAGTCTCAACAATTAAATATAAATTTTGTCTTTCCATGTAAGTGATAGACTAATGAATCTACAGATTTGCAAGTTTATAAGCCGAAGTGAATGAGTGCCTCCTTCTGAAAATTATTATTGGGCTTATGAGTTTATAAGCGCATGCATTTCACCCTGGTTGGCCTAAGCTGGCAATTTCCTCCAAGTGGGCATATTAGGAATACCAAATGTCACGAACAGACTGCAAAGAGAGAGAGGAAGGGAACATTTAGCTTCTGACAGCTGAACACAAGAAAAGGGTCCAACCAAGTTTCCTGGGAAAGCTGGAGGTTACAACCATCAGATGACCAATGCCCAACTTCTCTTGTTTATTTTAATTCTTCTGTTTTAATAGACAATATTTCATTTTGACATTTTAAGGAACATTTCTGTGTCTCTGTTCTGGCCCCTGATGTTACCTTTGGAGACTAGGGGGAAGAGAGAGGGAGTAATTAATATATTTATAAGAACATATTTTTGAATAAGAAGAATATGCATAAGTTAATATTTATTAATATATTTATTAATCAAAATATATTCATAAGAAATTATTTATATTTAAGAATATACTCAATAATACATATGTAAAATATGTTATTCAGGAGTGCATTCTTAATTCACATGTTCTTTGTGCCACATGTGTCCACTGATCTCTGTGGAAGATTCACAAAAATGATATGTAAGGTATCCAAATTGCTGAAAACCACAGACAATGAGAAAAATCTTGAAGGCAGCTAGAGGAAAAATTAAGCATTTACATCAAGCATTTATCAATGAGAAGAATATATTCATCGGAAGAATTGTATTAGTCCGTTCTCACGCTGCTAATAAAGGCATACCCGAGACTGGGTAATTTGTAAAAGGGAGCTTTAATTGACTCACAGTTCAGCATGGCTGGGGAGGCCTCAGGAAACTTAAAATCATGGCAGAAGGGGAAGCAAACATGTCCTCCTTCACATGATGGCAGAAAGGAGAAGTGCTGAGCAAACGGAGAAAAGGCCCTTATAAAACCATCAGTTCTCGTGAGAACTCACTCACCATTATGAGAACAGCAGCATGGAAGTAACCGCCCCCATGATTCAATTACCTCCCACTGGGTCCTTCCCACAACACATGGGGATTATGGGAACCACAAGTTAAGATGAGTGGGGACACAGCCAAATCATATCAAGAATATATTTTAAAAATAAATCATTTTATTCACGAATAAATTCATATAAATATGTTTATCTTTTGCACCATCAGTTTTTCCTTTTTTCTTTTAGCTTCCATCTGTCAAAGCAGAAAGCCAGGTCAGAGATAGACCAGCCATCCCTTCACTTTTGCTGAGACTATGACACAAGAAAATATGTCAACCTTAAATAGCAGAAACAAATTTAACAAAATAGTCATCAGCAAATTGGCCACTCAGCAAAGTGGCTTTGTCAGTGGACCTGGTCGAGAGAGCTAGGACCTGCTGCCACAGAAACTGCCTTGGTCAGGTGAAACAACCCCGAAGCAGAAAGTGTAGGTAGAAAATCAGGACTGAAGCAATTACACATGTTGTCATTGACCTTTCCATCTGCAGGGGATAATGCAGTGAAACCCTGCCACCTTTCCACAGGCTAACTCTCAGCGGAATAAAAAAAAAGTCATGTGCAGGTTGATTTGGGCTAACGAATGATCTTTCATCATTCAACTTTTGATGTTCAAAAGTGTATGTTATTATATTTGTGCACATGTGAAATGAAAGAGAAAGGAGCTTGGACACATGAAAACCAAGGAAAGAAAAACCTAATTTGTTTTACTAATAAAGAGTAACAGAAAAAAGGGTAATACCAATTTCACTTGCTTCTATGTCTCTTTTCTATGCCCTCAGGAAGTACAATTTACCACTTTGGGAAGCTTAGGAGGGAGCATCGCTTAAGACCAGGAGTTCAAGACCAGCCTGGGCATCATATTGATGTCTCTTCTAAAAGCACTACTAATGCAATAAAATGTATTCTCGTTGAAAATTACATCTGCAGACAATAAAACAGGAAAAAAACTGCTGTCTTTTCACACTCAATTGTTTATCTTCTGATCTGATTCATCTTGCCATTGTGTGTTGCATAAAAGTTGTAATAAACTAAAATTTAACATATTGTGGTACATACACACCGTGGAATAGTGGAATACTATGCAACCATAAAAAAGAATGAGATCATGTCCTTTTCAGGAACATGATGAAGCTGGAGGCCATTATCCTTAGCAAACTAACACAGGAACTGAAAACAAAATACCGCATCTTCTCACCTACAAGTGGGAGTTAAACGATGAGAACACATGGATACATAGAGGGCAGTGACACACACTGGGGCCTACCTGAGAGTGGAGGGTGGGAGGAGGGAAAGGGGTACAAAAAATAACTATTGGTTACTAGGCTTAATACCTGAGAGATGACATAATCTGTACAACAAACCTCTATGACACGCGTTTACCTATATAACAAACCTGCCCATGTAACCCAAACTTAAAATAAAAGTTTAATATATAAATATATATATAGTGGCATTTTGGACAGACATTTACATATAGAGATGCATGAATACATAGATCAATAGATGTATGTATTCACGGGTTATTATGAATGCAAATATGCATTTGAAAATAGGGTTTCCAGCACTTTGGGAGGCCGAGGCGGGCAGATCACGAGATCAGGAGATCGAGACCATCCTGGCTAACACAGTGAAACTCTGTATCTATAAAAATACAAAAAAAAAAAAAAATAGCCAGGCATGGTGGTGGGCGCTTGTAGTCCCAGCTACTCAGGAGGCTGAGGTAGGAGAACTGCTTGAACCTGGGAGGCGGAGGTTGCAGTGAGCTGAGATCGCACCACTGCACTCCAGCCTGGGTGACAGAGTGAGACTCCATCTCACAAAAAAAAAAAGGATTTCTGGGCATTTTTGGTTGTCGTTTTGTCTGTTTTGTTTTTATCTATTGACACTAGCAGGAAGGCTTACTTTTTTATAGTAGGTATATATTTCAAACCATAGTCTTAGATCTTATGACATAGTTAAAGGAAACATCATATAAGAGCTCAGAGATGTAAAATAGAGCCATTTATGATGGTTTTGAGAACCTGTAATGATACATCTATGTTAATTTTTTATATGTTAATTTAATTTAGGTTTTCTGCCTTTGGAACTGTGTACAGGTAAGATGCTCTAAGCTACCATATAGCAAAATTTAAATGAAAATTACCATTACACTTATTTAGCTCCAAATAATTTAATAACTATTACTGGGTTGTTACTAGAAAAAAAAAAACAGCTCACTGTAATTGTTAACGAAGTAAAGCAGTCCCAATCAAATCTTGCGTTGCTCTGACACATGTTTTGCTAAAGGAGCGGGAGAGGCGTTTTGTTGTATTTCCAGCTGGCTTCCTGGGGAAACAGAATACATTTGGAGAATGTGTTCCCCTTTGTTAATTGTGACGCGTGTCCAGTGACCCCTGATGAAGAACTCTTAAAGTGACATGGAATGTGTTCAAATTGCTGAAAACCAGAGACAAAGAGAAATCAACACAAAAACTGAAAATCTCTCATTTTTCTCAAAAGAGAAACATCTTGAGGAAGTTAGAGGAAAAAAGACATTATCAAACAAGAAACAAGGTTAAGAATGGGAGCTGACTTCATATCAGAAACCATGCAAGCAAGAAACGAAGTGACACTTTTGAAGTCATAAAAGAATTTTTAAAAACCTATCAACCCAGAATTCTATAACCATTGAAAAATTCTTTAAATATTTGTTAATCACTGTGGTGATTTTGAATTAAGGTGAAGTTGAATTCCCCTCATGTGGCTTGCAAGTTAGTCTTGTTTTTGTGGTTTGGGTTTTTGTTTTTGAGATAAGGTCTTCCTCTGTCATCCAGGCCGAAGTGCATTGGCGCAATCACAGCTCACTGCAACCCCAACAACCGAGACTCAAGTGATCCTCCCACCTCAGCCTCCCACATTGCTGAGACTACAGGTGCACTCCACCACACCTGGCTAATTTTTGTAACTTTTGTAGAGATGGGGTTTCATCATGTTGCCCAGGCTGGTTTTGAACTTCTGGGCTCAAGCAATCTGCCCACCTTGGTCTCTCAAAGTCCTGGAATTACAGACATGAGACACTGTGCCCAGTCTTGCAGGTTGGTCTTAATGACTGACTTTTAAGAAATGGAATACGGAAAAGTAAAAACTGTAATTTTGTAGTGGAGGAAACCATCAAGTCACCAACATAGCCAAGTAATCAAGCTTAACATCAACAATGAAAAGTCATATGGCTACCTCACACCACCGTGACACAATGGGAAGGTCACTTCAACTATGTGAAATTCTTCCTCAAAATTTACAACCCCACTTTAATTAAGAGAAAACATCAGATGAACCCAAATCATTTGATGCACATTCTAAAAAATATCTGGTCAGTGGTCTTCAAAGTGTCAAAGCCAGGAAAGACAGAGAGATTGTCCCTAATTGAAGTAGACTAAGGAGACATGAAGACTAAACACAATATGAGATCCTGGATGGTACCTGGGAACAAAGAGAAGAAATTAGTTAAAAAAAAAAAAAAAAAAAAAAAAAAAACTGGTGAAATGTGGGCCAGGCACGGTGGCTCACTCCTGTAATCCCAGCACTTTGGGAGGCCAAGGCAGGTGGATCACCTAAGGTCAGGAGTCTGAGACCAGCCTGGCCAACGTGGTGAAATCCCGTCTCTACTGAAAATACAAAAATTAGCTGGACGTGGTGTTGGGCACCTGTAATCCCAGCTGCTCGGGTGGCTGAGGAATGAAAATCACTTGAAACCAGGAGGTTGACGTTACAGTGAGCCAAGATCGCACCACTGCACTCCAGCCTAGGCATTAGAGTGAGACTTCCTCTCAAAAATGAAAAACTGGTTAAATATAGCCTGTCATTTAGGTAATAGTATTATACAATGTTAATTTCTCATTTTTAATAAATGTGCCATGGTTACGTAAGAGGTTAACATCAGAAGAAACTAAGTGAAGAGTGTATAGAAACTGTCTTTACCATCTTTGCAACTCTATGTAAATCTAAAATTATTCCAGAGAATGACTTCACAAGGTGGCAGAATAGAATTTCTCCAGCTCCACACCCCCACACGGAAATCCAACTAGCAACTATCCACAGGCAAGAATACCTTTCTGAATATCCCAGAACTCAGGGGTGAGACTGAGACACCCAATTGTACTGCAGAACTAGGAAAAGCTGTGCTTTGAAGGGTAAGAGGAACAGTTCATTTTGAGCATGCCACCCCTCCACCAAGCTGGCACAGCACGACACACAGAGGATTTCACCGGACCCACTATTTCTACAGTGGGAAAAGAAAGTTGGAGGTGGACGTTCAGCTTGCCCACCATTCTAGGACCCTTCACAGGAGGCTCACTCTTGTCTTATACCACAGGAAACATTAGGAGTGCCATCGGGGCTAGACCACCTGGAGTCAGCTAGAAACAAAGAATGGGAGTAGATCTCACAGAGACTAGCATGTAGTTAGTCTGCATTCTGGCTAATGGAGGCATCATATGAGAGAGACTAGCCAACAGCGTTGTACCACAGGAAGTACAGCTGACAGGTGTACCCAGCTCGCATCCCTCGCCAGCTTTCCTACATAGACCTGGTGCTTTCTACAGCATTGCCCAGGCTAGAAGGCAAGTGAACGTCAGCACTTCTCTGCAGAGAGTACATCTGGTCCCCACCCAGCACCAGCAGCTGACCAGGGACTCCACTAAGCTTTGTTTAAGCCTACCTTAGGCCAGGAGACAAGATCAAGTCCGCACATATGTGTGGGGCATAATGGCTTCTAGCCCTGATCAGCCCTGTGTAGCTGAGCAACAACAGAGTCTTTAGTTGACCATAGAGCTCAGCACAGAGGCCTGCTCAAAGGAGAAGTTTGATATACTTTACATGACTTAAATGATTTTAACTTTGTTGAAACTTGTTTAATGAAAGAGTTTTGGTTGCTTTGCATCCTTGCCAGCATACAGCACTGTCAGTTTTTTGGAGTTTAGTCATGCTAATAGTTGTATAGAGGTATCTCATTGTTGTTGTTTTAATTTGCAATTCCTTTTTAAATAATTTCAACTTTTATTTTAGATTCAGGGGGTTCATGTGCAGGTCTGTTACCTGGGTATATTGTGTGATACTGAGGTTTGAGGTATGATTGCTCCCATCACCCAGGTACTGCGCATAGTACCTAATGGTTTTTCAACCCTTCCCTCATCTACTCCCCGCCAGTAGTCCCCAGTGTCAGTTGTTGCCATCTTTATGTCCCTAAGTACCCAGTGTTTAGCTCCCAGTTATAAGTGAAAACATGCAGTAGTTATTTTTCTGTTCCTGTGTTAATTTGCTTAGGATAATGGCCTCCGGCTGCATCCATGTTGCAATTCCTTGATGATCTATGATATTGAGCATCTTTTCGTCTGCTTATTTGCCCTTCGTGTATCTTTAGTGAGGTGTCCAGATTTTGCCCACTTTTTAACTAGTTTTTTTTTCCTATTGTTGTGTTTTCAGTGTTTTTTGTATATGTTGGATATATTGATATATTTTTTGCATATATGTATATGTCGGTGTATTTTAGTGATGTAAAATGAATGGAATCTATAGCCTTAAACATAATATAAATATATAATGGTTAAGATTTCCCACTCAACAATCCAGGCTTGACAGAAAATCATAAAATGTATTTAAATTTAAATGTTTTTTTCTTTGTTGATACTAGTTCTTAGTTTTAACATGCCGAAGAGGGTATATTTGATCAAGGACAAGATTAAATGTTCTGACTGGCTAACTATCAAACCGCTGCCTCCACTTTTTTTTGCAACTTGAAAATATTTAGTTATCATGCTAGCACAGCCATATTAATATATACCCCTTCAAAACTTTAAATATAAGGCTTTAACAGTTTCAGGAAAAAGAAATATTAATGATGCTGAGATTGGTGGCCATGGATTCTGTGTAGTGAGACACTAAAAAGTAATTTTTCAAACAGGAAAGTTAAAGCACTTTAAAATCACAAAGCTATTGGTAATTAAAAAAAGAATTAGTATCAACTTCTGAAATACAAGATTAGAGGGACACCTAAAATTCTGAAAGACTTTAGAGAATTTTTTTAAAAAGTAATTGCAATTTAGATCAAAGTTCCCCACTTTTCATTCCAAGTGTGACACAGGTTTAAATAATAAACAGACAAAAAGTTTAGATAAATTCATGAATTATTGAACCAGACGATAAAAAATAGGGAAGCTATTTAGGGCATAGTCTCTAGTGTGTAAGGGTGACATCCTAAATAATAAATTTATGCTATTGTTGACAATATTGCTAACAAGGCAAAATGGTCAATGTGCTTGACATATTGCCTGGTTTTTCATGTTCTATTGCATGAGCTGATTCTCTCTCTCTTTTTCATTTATATTTTTGAACTCTGTCATTATGTTATCATGGACATTATGTCAACAATTGGATGCATCTATGTAATATGCTTTAAATCTCTGGGAATAAATTTACTGAGTGCTATTTATGTGAACAAACTTCTCTTAAGCACAAATGGAAATCCACAAAGAAAGACAGCCTCTTCTATTTGTTTTATATGAGGCAACGGATACACTGTAGACAAAAAAACCAAGTATAATTAACTTATATTGGTAACTAACTTAATATCTGCATATTACATATTTTTCTATTATGTTTTCTGAGCAACTTCGTGGCTTCTGATTTGGAGGGGTAGGATTTCATAGTTAATAATTTTTTTTTTTTTTTTTTTTTTTTTTTGGTGAGATAGAGTCTAGCTCTTGTTGTCCAGGCTGGAGTGCAATGGTGAAATCTCGGCTCACTGCAACCTCCGCCTCCCAGGTTCAAATGATTCTCCTGACTCAGCCTCCCGAGTAACTGGGATTACAGACACCCACCATCATGCCTGGCTAATTTTTGTATTTTTAGTAGAGATGGGGTTTCACCATATTTGCCAGGCTGGTCTTGAACTCCTGACCTCAGGTGATCCGCCCGCGTTGGCCTCCCAACGTGCTGGGATTACAGGCGTGAGACACTGCGCCCAGCCCATATTTAACACTTCTATAAATATTTGTGCATATTGAAAGGAACATCACTCCCCACACTGCAACTGAACAAAAAAGTGATAATGTTAATTTCTTTATTCTTGAGCTTTTCTTGAATAAAAGAGGGTCGTAGGACATGGAACAAAATAGACTAGAAAATAGGGTTGATAAGGTACTGATTCTGCCAACACTGCTTAATGCTCTCCCCAAGCAATTGTCTTTTAGATATGTTGATTTCCCAGTGTGAATGGTATTTTTTAAATATGTCAAGCAATTAAGAATGTAAGTCTGTTCTCATCTCAGCTAAACGTAGAATCTTTACGAAGAATTTTTGGTATCCTTAACCCTAATATGTGGAGGGATAAGATTAAAAATATTCACCACCTTATTTTTATTTATTTATTTAACTATTATTTTGAGACAGAGCCTCACTCCACCCAGAGTGGAGTGCTGTGGTGTGACCTCGGCTCATTGCAACCTCTGCCTCCCAAGTTCAAGTGATTCTCCTGCCTCAGCCTCTCAAGTAGCTAGAATTATAGGAATTCACCACCATGCCCAACTAATTTTTTTTTTTTTTGGTGAGACAGTCTCACTCTGTTGCCTAGGCTAGAGGGCAGTGGCACCGTTTTGGCTCACTGCAGCCTCTGCCTTCTGGGTTCAAGCAATTCTCCTGCCTCAGCCTCCTGAGTAGCTGGGATTACAGGCACCCGCCACCACACCCGGATAATTTTTTGTATTTTTAGTAGAAACGGGGTTTCGCCATGTTGGCCAGGTTAGTATTGAACTCCTGACCTCAAGTGATCTGCCTGACTCGGCCTCCTAAAGTGCTGGGATTACAGGTGTGAGCTACCACATCCAGCCATCACCTCTTGTAAAGTGCAGTATAGAAACAGTGGGCAATAGACAGGCAGGGGATAGAGGAAAATGTTTTGGGAGTGGGACAATATGAACTTATTGTCATGACAGGACCAAAAAGGGAAGATGTCTGCCTATCATAATTAATAATAACTCTATCAGTCAACATTTATGTTTTACATTTGTTCTGTAAAAGAAAAGCCAGCAAACATTACAGATTCTAGTCCCTAATAACTGATCAAGAAAGACACTCTAAGCTTGTGCATCAGCATTCTCTTTTTATCTAAAAGAAAATATATTAAATAAAGGGAGGAATGGCAGGAGTAAAGAGACTTGAAGGAAAAGAAAATATTGACTTTTTAATGATATTTTACAATGCTAAGATCTTTAGAAACCAACTATTCCATATGTCTTTTAAATATTAGTTTGGTGCAAAGGTAATTACAGTTTTTGTCATATAAGTAATGGCAAAAGCCACAATTACTCTTGCACCGACCTAACTGATACATTCATTCCATTTTGGAGGTATTGCAAATATGCTGAATCAATGAACTTCTTCAGTATTTTTCATTGTATTCGTACAAATTTAACCTAATAGTATTCTTCTGCATGTTATTTCCCTTTGTGCTTCCTTTAATGCAATGAAGCTGTAGTTACCAAATAGAGTGCTCTAAAAGGGCAAGGCTTGTCTGTGAATTGAGCCTAGCATAAAATTGACTCTCAGTGAAGACCTGTTGAACATTTCATGAATGCATCAACATCATAATCCTTCATGTGCTTGTAAGCAATTATTAAAATTTTCTCTGGCCTATTCAGGCCTGTGTTCTTCAAAATTCTTCAAAATATATGGACGTGTCTGCTCTTTCTATTAGGTTTTAACTTCTGGTGTCAGAAACCAGGGCTGTTTTTCTTAATTTGTGTCCTAAAACCACAGTAGGGTTGTATGCACAGTAGGGTTGTGATAATGCTTAATAAATATATAAAAAGATTAATATCCATTCATTTACATTTTCTTAATAAAACCCAATTTCTGGATGAGTAGCTGTGAAACTCAACTGGACGAGCTCTGACTAGTGTTAAGTATAGTATATTGGGAAAAGGGCTTCTGTATGCAACATATATGTGAGGCAAATGAGAAATATTAGCTAGGCTACATTAAATCCCAATGACATGAATAGAAATTTTATTATCCAGGTAGCAAAAATGAAGTCAAAAAAATAAATAAGAGAATGAAGTGAAGGTATGGGGCAAAACAATTAGTTTTTTCTTTAAGTCAATATTTTAGAAGATAGCTTTTGAAGGCCCAATCACACAGATAATTGACACTTCGACTTTTCTTTGCACTGTGTTAGACTTAGGTAAAAGAATGTCTCAGGACTGTACCTTCATGTAGAAAATGTAATTAATAGCAAATTGCATAAAAGTACACTAAAATTTTTACATCATTTTAATAAATTTCTTGAGATTTTACTTTATTGTGTCATTAAAACACAGGATTTAAGGAAGATATATATAATAAAGGAAAATAGTAAGTTATCATTCTTGTGTAAACATGTTTTGTAAATACTATTTCAACAAAGATTTAAAAGTTAATTACAAAGATATAAAGTTATGAAGTATTATATAAACAGGATTCATAATTTTGTTTTAAATGGTCTTTTCATGTATCAAAATACTATCAGTTTAAAACAATCTTTTTTTTTTAAGACAGTAGGCTCTGTTTACCATCATTTACAATTACTTTAATTAGAATTTTCTTCACTTTCAGTATATTCAAGAGCTATTCTGTTGGCAATAATTTTTAAGATAAAGTTTATCCAAATAGAAAAGTAATTATATAATGATTAAGAGCCAGAATGTCTGGGTTCAAATTCCAGTTCTGCTACTTATCAGGTATAAGAATTTGGGCAAATGTCTTAGTTTCTCTGTGCTTCAGTTTCCTGATCTGTAAAACTGGGATAACAAGACTACCTGCCTCAATCTGTGGTTATGAGTAAATGAGTTAATACATAAGAGCAATGCAATAATCCTTGGCATGTGGTATGAGTTCAATAAACATTAGCTATTATTATTATAGTAAATTAGAAATTTAATTCTAGAGAATAAAAAGCTGAACTCAAATATGTAACTATTTATTTGATACAGACATATTTTCTACAAAATAAAAAACCGCCAGTTTGCACTTCCCTTATATAATGACTATTCTGGTGTTTGTGTGTATCTGTTGTGGGTCGGGGTCTTGGGCTGAGTAAATAATCACATTAAAAATTTTAAAAACTTCCGATTAAAACAGAAATAAGAACAAACGGCCATTCGTGGATCATTTGCAAAGCTGAACGAATACTTGACATGTCTTTCTGTGATTCCTTGCAGATATCATGGAAATCAGGACAGTAGCAGTTGGGATTGTGGCAATCAAAGGGGTGGAAAGTGAATTCTATCTTGCAATGAACGAGGAAGGAAAACTCTATGCAAAGGTATTGATAATTGATAGCTTAGGCTTAATTTTTAAAACTCTTTTGTTGAAATATCTCACCATTCTGAAAAGTAAAAATGGACTTAATTTATCTCCAACTGTATAATTTAATGATTTTATTAAAACACTTTATACTCAAACATTAAGAAAAAATGTTTTCTGTGTGACTTTGGACAAATGGCTTGTTCTTTGGATTTTGGTTTCTTCATCTGTAAAATGAGTTGAATTAGCTGACCTCTAAGGATCCTGCCAGCTCTAAAATTCCATGTGCATTTTAGATATTTAAAATCCAAAATTTCCATTTGCCAGTATTAAAGCTCTTTTTGTTAAAGTTCACTCAATTTGCACATTGCTGACATGAAAATTCTTGGGAAAAAATCTTGAAATGTTTAGTTCATTCATCAATATCAATCTGACAATCATGGGCTTTGAACTGTAATTATTCACATTGTTCCCACTTCACTACAATGCAAAATATGTAACAGTTCATCTCACTGTAATAAAATATAATTGGCTTTCCTTTATATTCCCACAGCTCAGCATAATGCCTGGAACAGGCTAATTGTATAATGATACAGGTTTAACTGAATGAACAAATGGTTGCATGGATGAACAAACAAATTAACCTTTTATCTTCCATTACCATTGAAGACAATGTAGAAGTAAATAAAGAAAAGTTGTGAAACAAGTCTCTCACCTGAGGGAGGCAGAGGTTCTGCTAATTATAGCAAATTTCCAGTGGTTAAAGAATGAGTGATGTGGGAATAGTAATATGAGGCCTGTTACTTAGGGGGAAATAGGTCCTAATTTTAAAGAATAGTTGACATGAACTTCCAAAAAGCTACACATATTTCATAACTAGCTGTGTATTATGTGGTGTTTCTATTTCAAATTTAAGATACCTTTTAATGCAAATATACTACATAAGTCTAGCTAATAAACCACATTAGGCCTGCTCAATCTGAGGGTTAAAAAAAGTTGTGTATGTTTCAATTCTACCAAATATTACCTGCTTACTCTTCGTTTAATTGAGCCTCTCTAAAAATCATTTGGATCATGTTTGTTTGTTTGTTTGTTTGTTTGTTTGTTTTAACAGAAGGAATGCAATGAAGATTGTAACTTCAAAGATCTAATTCTGGAAAACCATTACAACACATATGCAGCAGCTAAATGGACAAACAACGGAGGGGAAATGTTTGTGGCCTTAAATCAAAAGGGGATTCCTGTAAGAGGAAAAAAAAACAAAGAAAGAACAAAAAACAGCCCACTTTCTTCCTATGGCAATAACTTAATTGCATATGGTATATAAAGAACCAGTTCCAGCAGGGAGATTTCTTTAAGTGGACTGTTTTCTTTCTTCTCAAAATTTTCTTTCCTTTTATTTTCTAGTAATCAAGAAAGGCTGGAAAACTACTGAAAAACTGATCAAGCTGGACTTGTGCATTTATGTTTGTTTTAAGGCACTGCATTAAAGAGACATTTGAAAAGTATACACAAAAATCAGATTTAGTAACTAAAGGTTGTACAAAATTTTAAAACTGGTTGTACAATCATGATGTTAGTAATAGTAATTTTGTTCTTAAATTAATTTACCCTTAAGAGTATGTTAGATTTGATTATCTGATAATGATTATTTAAATATTCCTATCTGCTTATAAAATGGCTGCTATAATAATAATAATGCAGATGATGTTATATAAGGTATATCAGACCTACAGGCTGCTGGCAGGATTTGTCAGATAATCAACCCACACTAACTATGGAAAATGAGCAGCATTTTAAATGCTTTCTAGTGAAAAATTATAATCTACTTAAACTCTAATCAGAAAAAAAGAATATTCTCAAAAAAATCTATTATGAAAGTCAATAAAATAGATAATTTAACAAAAGTACAGGATTAGAACATGCTTATACCTATTAACAAGAACAAAATTTCTAATGCTGCTCAAGTGGAAAGGGTATTGCTAAAAGGATGTTTCCAAAAATCTTGTATATAAGATAGCAACAGTGATTGATGATAATACTGTACTTCATCTTACTTGCCACTAAATAACATTTTATAATTCCTCAAAGTAAAATTGAGAAATCTTTAAGTTTTTTTCAAGTAACATAATCTATCTTTGTATAATTCATATTTGGGAATATGGCTTTTAATAATGTTCTTCCCACAAATAATCACGCTTTTTTCCTATGGTTACTGCATTAAACTCTATATTAAGTTGTTTTTGAACTTATTGTTTTGTTATTTAAGTTTATGTTATTTATAAAAAAAACCTTAATAAGCTGTATCTGTTTCATATGCTTTTAATTTTAAAGGAATAACAAAACTGTCTGGCTCAACTGCAAGTTTCCCTCCCCTTTGTGACTGACACTAAGCTAGCACACAGCACTTGGGCCAGCAAATCCTGGAAGGCAGACAAAAATGAGGGCCTGAAGCAATGCTTACAATAGATGTCTCACACAGAACAATACAAACATGTAAAAAATCTTTCACCACATATTCTTGCCAATTAATTGGATCATATAAGTAAAATCATTACAAATATAAGTATTTACAGGATTTTAAAGTTAGAATATATTTGAATGCATGGGTAGAAAAGTATCATATTTTAAAACTATGTATATTTAAATTTAGTAATTTTCTAATCTCTAGAAATCTCTCCTGTTCAAAAGATGGCAGCACTGAAAGTTGTTTTCCTGTTAGATGGCAAGAGCACAATGCCCAAAATAGAAGATACAGTTAGGAATAAGGGGCCCTGAATGTTATGAAGGTTTGAAGTCAGCCTACAGATAACAGGATTATTACAAAGATGAATTTCCACTTCCAAAGTCTGTCATTGGCAGATCTTGGTAGCACTTTATATGTTTACCAATGGGAGGTCAACATCTATCTAATTTAAAAGCTATGCTAACCATTGTGGTTTTAATTTCAAAATATTTGTCATACAAGTCCCTTTACATAAATAGTATTTGGTAATACATTTATAGATGAGAGTTATATGAAAAGGCTAGGTCACCAAAACAATAGATTCATTTAATTTTCCTGTGGTTGACCTATACGACCAGGATGTAGAAAACTAGAAAGAACTGCCCTTCCTCAGATATACTCTTGGGAGAGAGCACAAATGGTATTCTGAACTATCACCTGATTCAAGGACTTTGCTAGCTAGGTTTTGAGGTCAGGCTTCAGTAACTGTAGTCTTGTGAGCATATTGAGGGCAGAGGAGGACTTAGTTTTTTGTATGTGTTTCCTTAGTGCCTAGCAGACTATCTGTTCATAATCAGTTTTCAGTGTGAATTCATTGAATGTTTATAGACAAAAGAAAATACATAATAAAACTAATCTTCATTTTAAAAGGGTAAAACATGACTACACAGAAATTTAAATAGAAATAGTGTATATACATATAAAATACAAGCTATGTTAGGACCAAATCTCTTTGTCTATGGAGTTATACTTCCATCAAATTACATAGCAATGCTGAATTAGGCAAAACCAATATTTAGTGGTAAATCCATTCCTGGTAGTATAAGTCACCTAAAAAAGATTTCTAGAAATATGTACTTTAATTATTTGTTTTTCTCCTATTTTTAAATTTATTATGCAAATTTTAGAAAATAAAATTTGCTCTAGTTACACACACTTAGAATTCTAGAATCTTAAAACTGTAAGGGGCCTCCATCCCTTTTACTCATTTGTAGTCTAGGAAATCAAGATTTTGATACACCTCAGGTCATGCAGCTGGGTAGATATACAACTGTCACAAGAGTCTAGATCAGTTGGCACATGCTTTCTATACTAGATTATTAGTATTATTAGCTAATGGTCTTCTGCATTTTTTGGTTTTTGATTTGTATTGAGATATAGCCTTTACATTTCTACACAAATGTGACTATGTATTGGCAATGCACTTCATACACAATGACTAATCTATACTGTGATGATTTGACTCAAAAGGAGAAAAGAAATTACGTAGTTTTCAATTCTGATTCCTATTCACCTTTTGTTTATGAATGGAAAGCTTTGTGCAAAATATACATATAAGCAGAGTAAGCCTTTTAAAAAATTTTCTTTGAAAGATAAAATACATGAGTTTCTAACAATTAGAAAGGAAAAAATGAAAATATGAAATAACAAAAGTAAACAAAAGATACTTTCAAAGCAGTGAACAAAACATTTTGACATAAGCCATAATATAAATTATAATATAAAAACATAAAAACCATAGTATAAATTGTCAGTCTTTGAGTTGGCCACAAATTCAATTTAATGAAAGAAGAGAAGGGATGCTGGAGGTAAATAAATTCTTAGAGTTTCTATCTCATAGAGTTTGCTCTTCTGGTTCTCTAGACTGCCAAAGAACATAAAGATGTACAAGGGGACCTAGCTGTAGTAAAAGCATACCTATAACAACAAAAACTCTAAAACGGTGCCCCTCATGATTTTCTACTGAAATTTCTCTAATAGTAGAGGTATAAAATAAGAAGTTAGAGAATAATACAAAAGGGGCCCACCATAGAAAGCACATTTCTTTTCTCTTAAGACTCATGTGATTTTTGCATCTTACTCCATAATGTATTAGTGGTTGCATTAATATGACAATGTCTGCAATTAAACACCAGTAAGCAAAATTGATACATCAGAATGACTTGCAGGGCTTATCACGCAGTTTCATTTACATCCCTACCCCACTGCCATTTACTTGAGCGTGAATGACACAGGAGAGATTCTTTGCCTTCCATAATCCAACTTTACACATAAATAACACAAGGCTAAAGAAAACCAGAACTCAAATTCACCATGCATAGGAGTGATAACAAAAATATTTAACAGTCAGTATGGGCGATCACTGGCCAATCAAAATACATCACTGATATATCAAAATGGATGCAGGCCACTGTGACTAACTTGTGGATATCATTTCTATGATCACCCTAAAACAGAGTTGGGAAAATATCAATTAACTGGTCTCTCTGGTTTGAATTCTCAATATGTATCTTAATATGAAATAGCTCATTAAAACTTCATGTGTAACTATTTCAGCATTGTTGTCAGCTACTCTTTATTCCACTTCTATACAGATCATGTCATCTTCAAATAGAGACACTTTCACTTCTTTTCCAATTTGGATGCCTTTTATTTCTTTTTCTTACCTAATTGCTCTGGCTAGGACTTACAGACTTTTTCAGAAACCCCCCAAAGTAATCTAGGGGAGTCCACTATCACTAGATCTGCTTTATAAGAAACCCTAAAGGGAGTTCCTCAAACTGAAATGCAATAAGACTAATTAGTATCATGAAACCATATGTAGTTATAAAAAGTCACTGGTAAAAGTAACTGTACAGTCAAATTCAAAATACTCCTAATACTGTAATGATGGAGTATAATCACTTTAACTTTTAAAAGGTTAAAAGACAAAAAATACTACAAATAAATATAATTACAAAATATACAAAGAAAGAAACTCTGACATCAAAAAACATAAGTGGAGGGGAGTAAAGTGTAGGGTTTTTGTATATGATTGAAGTTAAGTTGTTATCAACTTAAAATAGACCATTATAACTACAATCATGCATTTCTTAATGCGGACATGTCCTGAATAATGCAATTTTGTCATGGTGTGAATATCATAGAGTATACTTACACAAAATTAGATAATACCACCTAACACACACCCGGGCTATTTGGTATAACCTATTGTTTCCAGGCTACAAATCTGTACAGCATTGTACTATACTGAATGCTATAGGCAACTGTAATACAATCATAAGCATTTGTGTATCTAATGTATCTAAACATATGAAAGGTACAATAAAAATGTTATAACCTTATGGGACCACCGTTGTATATGTGGCCCATCATTGACCAAAACATCCTTGTGTGGCACATGATAGCATACAATGTTTTATGTAAGCCTCATGATAAACACAAAGACAAAACATGTAACAGATACACAAATGAGAATTTTACCACATGTTTAAAAAAGAATTAATACAAAGGCACAGCAAAGAATCAAAGTATACCACTACAGAAAATAATCAACGTAATCAAATCACGCACAGCAAGAGAGAAATAAAAGAACAAAAAAACTACAAAATGCCTATCAATAGTTACTTTAAATATCAGTGGACCAAATTAGTGAAACAAAAGACACAGAGTGGCTGAATGGATAGTAAAACAAGAACCAAATATATGCCACCTATAAGAGACTCACTTCACCTTTAGAGACACACATAGACAGAAAGAGAGGGAACAAAAAAAGACAGAGTAGCTATTCTTACAACAAACAAAATAGACTTTAAGTCAAAAACTGTAACGAGACAAAGTCGTTATAGAATGATACAAGGGTCAATTCATTGAGAGGATATAACTACTGCAAATATATATTCTCCCAACATTGGAGCACCTAATTATATAAAGCAAATATTAACAAATCTGAAGAGAGAAGTAGACAACAATAATACAATAACAGTAGGGGACTTCCATGTCCCACTTTCAACAATGGATTGATCACTCAGACAGATAATCAGTAAGGAAACAGCTGACTTGAACTACACTATAGATCAAATGGACCAGACATATACATGACATTCCTTTCCAAAACAGCAAAATACACATTCTTCTCGAGCATACACAGTACATTCTCCAACATAGGTCATATATTAGGCCAGAAAACAAGTCTTAGCAAATTTAAGAAGATTGAGATCTCACCAAGTATTCTTTTTGACTACAGTGGCATGAAACTGAAAATTAAAAACAGGAGAAAACTTAGAAAAGTGACAAATATGTGGAAATCAACCAACACACTCCTGAATAACCAGTAGATCAAAGAAAACATCAAAAAAGAAATAAAATATCTTGAGACAAACTAAAATGAAAGCACGACATACTAAAACTGATGAGATGAAGCAAAAGCCGTTCTAAGAGAGGGAAGTTTATACAGATAAGTGCTAAATAAAGAAAAAAGATCCCAAATAAACCTCAAAAAATAGAAAAAAATAATCAAGCCCAAAATTAGAAGAAGGAAATAACAAAGATCATAGCAGAAATAAATGAAATAGACTAGAAAAACAATAGAAAAGATCAATGAAACGAAGAGTTGATTTTTTGAAAAGATAATAAATATTGACCAACCTCTCACTAGGCCAAGAAAAAAGAAATCTCAAGTAAATAAAATTAGAACAAAAAAGGAGATATTAAAATTGGTACCATAGAAATACAAAGGATAATAATAGTCTACTCTAAACAACTATGTGTCAACAAATTGTTTAACTTAGAATAGAGAAATTTCTAGAAACATACATCCACTAGACTGAAACATGAAGAAATAGAAAATAAAAACAGATAAATAATGATTAAAAATATTGAGTCAGTAGTCAAAAAGCTCCTGAAAAAGGAAAATCCAAGACCAGATAGCTTAGTGGAGAATTCTACCAAATGTTTGAAGAAGAATTAATACGATTTCTTCACAAACTCTTCCAAAAGTTGAAGAGGAGGGAACACTTCCAAACATTTTTTATGAGGCCAGCATTACCCTGATAACAAAGACAGAAAAGGACACTACAAGGATGACAGAGATTTTTAAGGTACAAATGATGTATTGTTGGAATTGAAAATACAGGCTTTGTTAGTACAAAGATTTGTGTGTGGATAGGTGGATGTGTACTGGTGTGTGCATGCATACATATACAAGCTTAACTTGTTTTATTGCACTTCACTTTATTATGCTTCTCGGATATTGCAGTTTGTACAGGTTGAAGGTTTGTGGCAACCCTGCACCAAGCAAGTCTACCAGTGCCACTTTTCTGGTAGCATGTGCTTATTTTGCACCTCTGTGTTACATCTTTGTAATTCTTGCAATATTTCAAATGTTTTGTTATTATTATATCTGTTATGGTGATCTGTTATCAGTGATCATTGATATTACTATTGTCATTGTTTTGGGGCATCACAAGCCATGCTCCAAAAGACAATGAGCTTAATTGATACATATGTGTATTCAAATGGTTCCATCGATCTGCCCTTCCTCCATCTCACCCTCTCCTCAGGTCTGTTTTCTGAGACACAGCAATATTGAAATTAGGCCAATTAATAACTCTATAAAGGCCTCTATGTGTTCAAGTGAAAGTAAGAGTCACACATCTCTTATTATAAATCTAAAGTGAGAAATGATTAAGCTGAGTGAGGAAGGTATGTTAAAAGCTGAGACAGGCCAAAAGGCCCAGGCTGGTCTCGAACTCCTGACCTCAAGCAATCCACCTGCCGCAGCCTCCCAGGTAGCTGAGATTAAAGGCATGAGCCACCATGTCCAGCTTCTATGCATTATTTTAAATGGAGTATTGAAGACTCTGTTACTGTAGAACTATTTCTAACTTCAATTCTGTCAATATTTGGGTCACAGGCCTTAATGTGATTACACGCTGGTCTGATGCTCATGGCCAGGACATTTTGTTTTCCTGTTGGACATAAACAATCTCACAGAATATCAACTTCAGAAGGTTAATCTGAGACCGTGATAAGTGCAAACAAAAACAAGGGCACTTTATAATGTTGTCTAAGTGCAGATAAAAAACAAGGTCTTGATGCCACCCACAAAATACTTAATAATCATATTGCTCCTGCTTTCTGACAGCATCCAATCTAAAGTCTTCACTTTCTGAGATCCTGTCCGAAATCAACCAATTAAAGTCCAAATCGTATAATAGTTTCTCTCTAACTCCTCCCACTGAGATGACCCATAGTACCCCATTCCTTGCTGCAATGTAATTATATTTACTTACAAGTGTGCTCCTGGTGGTCTTTAACTGAAGGGCACTGACTGGGTCACTGGTGAAGTTCCCCGCAGGAACTGAGTCAGACCCCATCTCAGGGCCCTGCACAAGATAGGTACCTGCTCTAAGGCGTGGACCCTCGCCACAGCCCTGGCCCGTCTTGACGGGCGAGGGTTACTGTACTTGTCCCAACCGTACAGATGAGAAAGCTGAGACTCAGGGCCAGCAACCCGGGTCCCAGCGGAGCGCCCGGCACGCGCCAACACTTCAGCACCAGTCGCGGTGGCCACCACTGTGCGCGGAGATGGCTGCGACGCGTGCGCAGGTAAAGTCCATCCGTGCCTTGCCTCCCACCGGCGCCTTCCCCGGCCTCTGGTTTTTGTCCCCGCCAGCGGCTCCGACTCCATCGCGTCCTCTTCCAGTCTAGTGCTTTTTTCCAGATCTCGATCCCAAACTCCCTCCTACCAGAATCTGGACCCGAATCCACCCATTGTCCGTTTTCCGCTGCCGCTGGAGAGAATCTCTGAGGTCCCCAGGAGAGCCTGCCTGCACGGAAGAGACGCCTCCTCGGTATGGCCGCCCCCGGAGAGGAGCGATTAAGTGCAGACCTCCATGTTGCTCTTGAGCCTGAGCGGCTTCAGGGAGCCATGTTTGTTACTGGCGGGCGCCGACCTCACTGAGCATGTGCAGCCCTGGCCGGGCGGCCTCAAAGTTCTGACATCACAGGGCGGTTCCTGAAGTGGACATAGTTGTAAGAGCTAGTTATTTTAGACAATGCCTCTGTGATCAGGGACTCTAATCTGGAAATAGGTAGTCGGAGAGGTCGGTGATGCAGTCTCTGGATCAGAGACCTGAGCTATATGGGGTTAGAGAGGGGCCCTGGGCAGGCGAGTCTCTGGGGAGTGTGGTGAGAATCCTTGTGTAAGATGCTGGGAGGAGGTGGGGTCAGGGCTGGGGTCCGTGGGCCGACGGGTTGGGGGATGGCCAGCGTCAGGGATCAGTAGTAGAGATTCTATGTGCCCTGATCGCCAGTGGAGGTTTTAAATACAGAGTATTCATGAGTTTAGCAATGTTATTCGCCTCTCATTATTTAAATAATTTGAAGTTTTCCCCAATAACTAGTGTCTTAGAAGTCATGAAAATTTCAGAAAATGACAGGTCTTCTGAGTTCATGATGGGAGTTGGGCAGCAGTCGCATACGAGCACCTGGAGAGTCCTTGCCAGTTCTTTGGGGATGGGGAGCTCTTAAGACTGCCCTGAGACCGCCCTTTGACCTCATTGTGGTCCTTTCTAGATTAAATGCTGTTTTCCATGACCGTCTCTGTTCTTCCCATACGCGAATGGCAGGCATTCAGATCTCCAAGAATAGAGGATTAGGAGAGACTCCACCACCTATGTCCTCACAGTTAATTATCGATTTGTGTCAGTTGCCCATTTTCTCACTTCCTGTTTGTGTGTCAAGGGGTATTAATAAATCTTTGCCTATTTAAAGATATTAGCCTTGGATTTTCAAATATTGCATATTTTGACATGTAAAAATTTGTTAGTTTTATTTTTTCAACCGATCTGACCTGTATAGTTGGGCTTGAGGAAGCTTCCTCATTCTACATGTTACTATGGATTTTCTAATATTAACACAGGGTTGTATTTTTTCCATATAACTTTCTATTGAATTTCTTTTTCCATATGATAGGTGGTGAAGGTTTAGCCCAGTAAAGCAGAGAGGTTAAGAGGTTAGATTGGGGGCTCTGGAGCCAGACCTGTGTAGATCTGAGTCCTGGCTCTGGCACTTGAAAGCCGTGTGACCTTGGTTAAGATACTTAGTCCCTCTCTGCCAAATGGAGAAATAAGGGCACCTACCCCATAGGGTAGTTGTGTGATTACACAAGTTAATACACTTCAATCAGTAGCAAGAAAGTGAATGTCAAGCTGTATTTGTTCAGGCAGCCATATGGTAGCCCCACGTCCTTAGTAAACTGAGGTATTGAAGTATCTTCTTTTTCTTTCAGAAAATATTTGTCAAGCACCTTCTGTGTTCAAAGAACTGTTCTAGAGCTTTACATGCTATGGAGGTCTAGAAATTCACATTATGGTGGCAGGTGACAGACAATACAAAGAGATAAAGCAATTTTATATAGTGATAAGCTAGGGAGGAGTGCTAAAAGGAGCCAAGGTGTAGTGGTGACTGGAAGGTGACCAGGGAAACCACTGTAGGGTTTCTAAGTGATGAGATCTGTGACAAATCCCTGTGGTCAGCAGCAGGCATTGGATATGTAACTTTATTCTGTCCCATTGATCTTGTAGTCAACCCTGGTCTGTTCTGTATTGTTTTAATTACATAATCTTTGTAATAATCTTTAATACCTGGTGGAGTGCTCTGTTTACTTATTTCTGCGTAATTAACCACCCCTAAGCTTAACTTACTCATGGTTCTGCAGGGTGACTGCTCTCCATGGTTCTAGGTGGTTCTGCATGGGGCCTCTCACATGTGCTACAGTCAAACATTAGCCGGGGCCACAGTCATCTGAAACTCACTTACATGGCTGACAATTGATGTTGGCTGTTGCCTGGAGAAGACATATGTGGCGTGGTGGAATGGAATGGTGACTAGATTCAAGAAAGAGCTTCCCAGGAGGAAGGCTACCAAGAGACCGAAGTAGAGGCTTCAGTTTCTTAAAAAAAAAAAAAAAAAAAAAAAATCGGGCCAGGCACGATGGCTCATGCATGTAATCCCAGCACTTTGGGAGGCCAAGGCAGGCAGATCACAAGGTCATGAGATCGAGACCATCCTGGCCAACATAGTGAAACCCGTCTCCAATAAAAAAAAAAATACAAAAATTAGCTGGGCATGGTGGTGTGAACCGGTAGTCCCAACTACTCGGGAGGCTGAGACAGGAGAATCTCTAGAACCTGGGAGGCGGAGGTTGCAGTGAGCTGAGATTGCACCACTGCACTCAAGACTGGCAATAGAGGGAGACTCCATCTCAAAAAAAAAAAAAAAATCCAATAGTAGAATTCCCAGAATGGAATTTATGGCATTTTCTATGGATCAAGCAAGTTGCAAGGCAGCCAGATTCAAGGGGAAGGGAGCTATTCCTCACCTCTTGAGAAGCAATGTGTGTTGAGGAAGGGAAAGAATTGATGGTAGCTGTCTTTGACTTCTACCATACAGAGCAAGGTCTCCACACTCCTTTCTCCTGTAATAATTTTCCATTTGAAAATTTTCCTTGCAATTCTCACACCTTTATTATTTCATATAAATTTTACAATCAATTTTTTTCTTGTCTAGATAACCATGCCATTTAGATTAAAATTGCATTACATTGCAACTTTTGAGAAACTATGGGAGGAGAATTGGCAACCTTATAATATTGAATTTGCTCATTAAGGAACATAGTTTCTCTGTTTATTTAGGTATTATATTTTTCATGACATACATGTTGGTATTTCTACCCAGGCTTTTCTCTTTGTTTTGTCATGTAGCCCATGAATGAGACTGCACTGTCTGTGTGATTGGGCAGTTGCCCAAAGTTTAAGGTGTTAACATGCATTAATTCACTTAATCACTCCTCATTTCCTCCTTCCCTCAACCCCTGACAACCATGAATCTGCTTTCTGTCTCTAGATTTGCCTATTCTGGACATTTTATATAAATGTGTCATCCAATATCTGGTCTTTTCTGACTGGCTTCTTTCACTTAGCAGGATTCTACGGTTTATTGAGGTTCATTCATTGTGTGGCCTGTATCAGTATTTCATTCCTGTTTATGGCTGAATAATGTTCCACTGTATGTACATATGTATGTATACCACACTTTGTATATCCATTTATTTACTGGAGGATATCTGGGTTATTGACAGTATATTTCAGGAGTCCCCAAGATCATCCTCCCCCTTGATCTACTGCTCTTTGTATCTTATATGACCTGTGCAGAACTATTTATCTGGAAATTAGGTGATGGTTGACTAAATATAGTTCTTCTAAAGACTCATTTTCCGTTGGTATTACATCCTGAGGAGACTTTAACTCAATCTCCCAATACATTTGATCATCAATATCAGTATTACCACATGACTTATTTGCATGAGGTAATCAAATCTAACCAGCCATGCCAGTGTTACCCATATTGCATGTTGTGGTAGTAGATGCAGCCCCCCAAAATAAAAGTCAAAAGATGCTGGCACATTCCTGAGGTTCTTCTCAGCCACTAACAATTGGTGTAGTTCATCATCACCTGGAATGACCAAAATGTCTCCCATGGAAATGCGGCTCAGCTGTGTAGGCTTCCATTTAACTTTGTCAGGTTCCGAGGCAGGGCTGGCTTGAGTGGTCTTGTTTCCACTTTGGCTATGATGAATAATGCTGCTGTGAACATTCAGGTATACGTTTTTGTGTGGTTTCATTTCTTTTAAGTATATACCTTGGAGTGTAATTACTGGATCATATGATAACTCTGTTTTAATTTTTGAGAAACTACCAAAATGTTTTCCAAAACAGAAAAGGTTTTACATTCCCTCAGCATTGAATGAAGGTTATTATCCAGTTTCCTGTTCTTGCTGACACTCCTTATTGTTTGTCTTTTGAATTTAGTTATCTCATTGGGGTGACGTGGTGTATCATTGTGTTTTGATTTGCATTTCCCTAATAATGAATGTTATTGAGCACCTTCTCACATGCTTATTGGCCATTTTTCATGTTTTTGAAGAAATGTCTATTCATCTTTTGCCCATTTTTAAATTGCGTTGTCTTTTTATTGAGTTGTAAGAGTGGTTATATCGTCTGGAACATGTGTTCCTTATCAGATATAGGACTTATAAGTTTTTGTCCCATTCTGTGGTTGTCCTTATTTTCTTATGTAACCTTTGTATTAGTCTGTTTTCATGCTGCTGATAAAGACATACCTGAGACTGGTCAATTTACAAAAGAAGGAGGTTTATTGGACTCACAGTTCCATGTGGCTGGGGAGACCACACAATCATGGCGAAAGATGAAAGGCAAGGAGGAGCAAGTCACGTCTTACATGGATGGCAGCAGGCAAAGTGAGAGCTTGTGCAGGGAAACTCTCATTTTTAAAACCATCAGATCTCGTGAGACTCATTCACTATCATGAGAACAGCACAAGAAAGACCTGCCCCCATAATTCAGTCACCTTCCACTGGGTTCCTCCCACAACACATGAGAATTCTGGGAGTTACAACTCAAGATGAGATTTGGGTGGGGACACAGCCAAACCATGTCAACTTTGAAACACAGAACTTTTTAATGAAATTGACCTGATCTATTTTTTGTTTTGTTGCTTGAGCTTTTGGTGACTGCTATGGTTTGAAATATGTTCCCACAAAATTCATGTTTGGAATGCTTATATTCCTGTTGGTGGGAATATAAAACCGTACATCTAGTATGGAAAACAATACGGTGATTCCTCAAGAAATTAGAAACAGAATTACCCTATGATCCAGCATTTCCACTTCTGGGTGGAATACCAAAATAATTGAAAGCAGGGTCTCAAAGAGATATCTGTACACCCGTGTTCATAGCAGCATTAGACACAATAGCCAAAAGGGAAATAATCTAAGCATTCATTGAGGGATGAATGGAAAAACAAAATCTGACATATACATACATACAGTGGAATATTATTCAGCTTCCAAAAGGAAGAAAATGTCTATATAGCATATAGACATATGCTATAACATGGATGCACCTTGAGTACATTATGCTAGGTGAAATAAGCCTGTCACAAAAACAAATACTGCATGATTCCATTTAAATGAGGGGCCTAGAATATTCAACTTCATAGACAGAAGGTAGAATGGTGGTTGCCAGAGGCTGGGAAGAGGGGGTAGGGGTTAGGTTTTAATAAATATCATTTCAGTTTTACAAGATGAAGAGAGTTTTGCAGATGGGTTGTGGGGATACTTGTACAACATTATCAATGTATTTAATACCACTGAATTGTACACTTAAAATGGTTAAGATGGTAAATTTTATGTGTGTTTTAACACAATAAAAACTGAAAAAAGGGATATATGTTACCCTAAATAAAAATTTCATATGCTGAACTCAGAACCCCCAGTACCTAAGAACATGACCTTTTTTGAAAATGGGATTGTTGTTAATGTAATTAGTTAAGATGAGGTCATGCTGTAATAGGGTGGGCCCCCAATCCAATATGATTTGTGTCTTTATAAAAAAGGGAAATTTGTGCACAGAGATAACACAGGGGATATGCCATATGAAGATGAAGGCAGAATTCTACAAGCCCAGGGATGCCAAAGATTGCCAGCAAACCACCAGAAGCTAGGAGAGAAGTGTGGATTAGATTCTTCCTCACAGCCCTCAGAAGGATCCAGCCCTGCCAAGAACTTGATCTCAGACTTCTAGTCTCCAGAACTGTGAGACAGTGCATTTTGTTTTGTAAGTCAGCCATATGGTTTGTGGCACTTTGTTATGGCAGCCCTAGGAGATGAAGACAATATGCAACATGGTATGTCCATTATAGGACACTGTGGGCCATAAATGTGTTCTTTGGCCTGAAGAAATAAAACTTGGTGGTCCAAGTTGATGTCTTATCATCTGTTCCAGTTCTTTTATAGTATTTTTGGGATTTGAATCTAATGACTATGCAAAGCCCAGTCCAGAGAACGTGTCAGGACCCATTATAGCCTCCCAGGGATACTGGCTTCAGTCTGGTATAATCTACTTGTTAGCTATGAGTGGTGCCTTCCCACTGGGAATCTGCCCCATAGCCACCTGCAGTCTCTGTCTTCCTGCTGTCAGATAGGACGGTTCTTGTTGGCATTTGGTGCCTCTGAGGGTGGAGGAGGGACGTGTTGCTGAGCAGCCCATCCCTGCACGGCTGCAGCTCCCCTGTGTCCACTCCTTTGTTAAGCCCAGGTGGCCACCTCAAGGTCACCAGGATATCCACCTACCAGATCTGATCACTGAACCTGGGAGGGGTTCTTCAGGTGGGCATTGACATGACCTACTTTAATGTGCCCTTTAAATTCCTGCAGTGCTGTGCTCCATGTGGACATCCTTTCACAGCCCAGTTTGCCATTGTCCCTCTGCCTGGTCACATGGCCAGGCCATTGGCCACTGCCCATGAGTCAGTAAAAGTAAAAACCGAAATGTAGAAGATCCTATCATTGTTCAATTCTTCCATCCCAGGAAGGAGTGCAACATGTAATTCATCTCACTGGGCTGATTTGTTCTTGCCTTTTTCAATAAGAATTTTCCCATTACTGCTCATGGTGTGCATCCAGGCCAAACTGATGCAAGGGTTGGGGTCCCAAGGCCTTGGGCAGCTCTGCCCCATGGCTCTGCAGGGTACTTCCCCAGTGACTGCTTCCATGGGCTGGCATTGAGTGCCTGTGGCTTTTTCAGGCACACAGTGAAAGCTTTCAATGGATCTACCATTCTCTGGCCTGCAGGACAGTGGCCCTCTTCTCACAGCTCCACTAGGCAGTGCCCCAGTGCGGACATTGAGTGGGGCCTCCAAACCCACATTTCACCTCCAGACTGCTTTAGTAAAGGCTCTCCATGAGGGCTCTGACCCTACAGCAGACTTCCTCCTGGACATCCAGGCATTATCATACAACGTTTAAAATCTAGGTGGAAACTCCCAAGCCTCAACTCTTGCCTTCCTTGCACCTGTAAGCTTAAAACCACATGGAAGCCACAAAGGCTTCTTATGGCTGCACCCTCTGATGCAGTGGCCTGAGATGTATCTGGGGCCCTTTTAGCCACAGCTGGAGCTGAAGCAGCTGGGATTCAGGGTGACATGTCCCGAGGTTGTACAGAACAGTGGGGTCCTGGGCCTAGGCCATGAAACCATTTTTCCCTCCTAATCTTTCAGGCCTGTGATGGGAAGGGCTACTGTGAAGATCTCTGAAATGCCCTGGAGGCATTTTCCCCATTATCTTGGCTATTCACATTCTGCTCCTCTTTACTTATGCAAATTCCTGCAGCTGAGTTGAATGTCTTACCAGAAATTTGGTTTTTCTTTTCTACCACATGGTCAGGCTGCAAATTTTCCAATCTTTTATGCTCTGCTTCCCTTTTAAATATAAGTTCCAATTTCAGACCATCTCTTTGTGAATGTATATGAGCATATGCTGTTAGAAGCAGCCAAGTTATATCTTGAATGCTTTGCTGTTTAGAAATTTAGAAATTTCTTCTGCCAGATGCCCTAAATCATCTAAAGTTTGAAGTTCCACAGATCCCTAGAGTAGGAGCACAATGCCACCAGTCTCCTTGCTAAAACATAGCAAGAGTGACTGCAAACTCCAGTTCCCAATAAGTTCCTCACCTCCATCTGAGACCACGTCAGCCTGGATTTCACTGTCCGTATCACTATATGAGCATTTCAGTCACAACCATTCAGCAAGTCTCTAGGAAGTTCCAAACTTTTCTTCCTGTCTTCTGTTTTTTTGTTTTGTTTTCATTTTTGTTTTTGTTTTTGTTTTTTTTAGATGGAGTCTCACTCTGTTATCCAGGCTGGAATGCGGTGGCACAATCTTGGCTCACTGCAACCTCTGCCTCCTGGGTTCAAATGATCCTCCTACCTCAGCTTCCTGAGTAGCTGGGATTACAGGCATGCGCCATGATGCCCGCCTAATTTTTTTTTGTATTTTTAGTAGAGACAGAGTTTCACCATGTTGGTCTGGCTGGCTTTGAAACTCTGACATCAAATGATCCACCTGCTTCACCCTCCCAAAGTGCTGGGATTGCAGGCATGAGCTACCATGCCCAGCCGTCATCTTCATGTCTTCTTATAAGCCTTCCAAACTGTTCCAACCTCTGCCTATTACCTAAGTCCAAAGTCGCTTCCACAGTTTCGGGTATCTTTGTAACAATGCCCTACTTCTCTGGTACCGATTTTCTGTATTAGTTTGTTCTCACATTGCTATAAGGAAGTACCTGAGACTGGGTAATTTATAAAGAAAAAAAGGTTTAATTGGCTCATGGTTCCACAAGCTGTACAGGAAGCATGGCTGAGGAGGCCTCAGGAAACTTACAATCATGGTAGAAGGTGAAAGGGAAGGAAGCATATCTTCGTATGGACAGCAGGAGCACAGGGGAAGTTAATATACAGTATTAAACAGCCAGATCTCATGAGAGCCCTATCACAAGAACAGCAAGGGGGATGTCCACACCTATGATTCAATAATCAATTTCCAATTGTAAGATTCAATTTCCAATTGTAATTGGAAATTACAATTCGACATGACATTTGGCTGGGGACTCAGAGCCAAACCATATCACCAACCCTATAAAGAAAGCGAGGCACTGATGTCACACTGCTGGTGGATCTGAGACTTGATCTCAGGCCAGCCTGATTCCTAAGTGACGTTCTTACCCTGTTGCCTCAGGATCAGCGAGAGCTCTATGGAGCCTGTACATTGCTAAAGAACAAGTTGAAAGAATTTTATTTCCAACAGTAGGGCTGATAAGGACCAGCTGGAAACAACTAAAGCTTCTGGAATACATATCAAGAACCTCTTAAAAATGTGTCAATGAGCTACAAAATAAGAATTCCAAAAAGCTAAAAAAGTTTTAAAATGGAAGTGAAACCCAAAGAAGTAACTAAGGCACTGATGCCACTTTTCACCCTTCAGATATTTGCCTGTCAAACTAAACTTTGCTGTTTTTCACAGCGTGAGGTGGAAAAGGGGCAGCAGAACAGCAGACAAAGCTGAGGGCCTGCCCAAGTGGGAGGGGCTAAGAGGAGACATCATAAAGTGAGATCCAAAAGGACAGACTTAGTGTAAGGGTGAACTATGAATAAACCTGTCCGCCTCCCCCTGTATGCTTCCCTTGACCCCTGCTTCCCTAGGAACAGTGAGGAACATTGGGTATCCTGAGAGAAAACATCTCCCCTGAGAGTTTTATGTGTGTGTATATATATATATATATATATATATATATATATAGCCCTTTAACTGGTTTGTTCACACAACCTGGGTGGTCTAAAATGTCTCAAGCTTCAAATTTAAAGCAATATCAGCTTTTTGGTGCCTTCTAGGTGACTGACAGATGCAAAATGGATTGTCTTTGGAGAAACTCTGAGATACTTTCAAGGAATATAAGTTCACAATAAAAAATCACAAATGTAAAATCGGCAAGAGCCAGCAGAAACAATGGACAGAAAGAGCAGGCCTGCAAAAACTTAAGACAGTCAAGTTACCAAAGACAGTACAAAGTGCGTTTTATACTTAAAGAAATAAAGGAGTTGAAATAACTTGAGCATGAAAATAACCAAATAGATTGGGGAAAGTACCAAGTAGAAACGAAATGAAAAGTATCATAATTGAAATGGAAAGTTCAATGGATTGGTTTAACTAACGGTCATCAAAAAGAGAATAATAGATGAAGAAATAAAGAAGTTTTCAGACTCGAAAAAGCTGAACGACTTTACTACCTGCAGACCTGCACTATAAGAAAAGTTAAGGGATGTCCTTCAGGCATAAAGAAAACGATACTAATGGCAGCGGTGTGCCATCTGGAGCAGCCACTGTTATCACGCCAGCTGCAGTATGGAGGCACAAGTGGTGGTGGCAGGAGTGGCTGTGGGAGCAGCAGTGGTAGTGGTGGGTCCCCTGTGCCCTACATCCCTGAGGCAGCTGACTGCACCACCCCGACCCTTGCACAACTGGGCAGGACCCACTGCAGGCCCGGAACCTCTGCCGTGCCTTCAATCTCGCTGTGTGCTGCGTCTCAGGAGTCTGTGAGCTGATAGTGCAGCCAGGACTTGTGGGGTGGCCCCAGGAGCATTGGGTTTGTTTGCGCGGGGTTGGCTGAGGCCACCAGCCACCCGCACCTTGCCTGCTGCCACTAAGGGGAAAATGCAGACCAGTGGTATGGCTAGGGCTGCATGCTTTATGGAGCCAGAAAGTTGGTAGAGTGGGAGCTTCCCAGGTGCAACTGCAGCCACCCAAGCTGTGGCTGCTACCAGGGCACTCCTGTGCTCTTGGGAGCCAAGAGTAGGCAGGAGCCCCGCCCTCCCAAGTGCAGCTGCAGCCACCCAAGCTGCAGCTGTGGACCCAGGAATCTCCGTACTCTTGGGGGCCCAGGAAGGCACCCCTTTCCCTGCAGGCTAGGAAGTGCCTGCTCCCACTGTCCGTGTTCTCCTTACTGTTAGCATCTGCTCCTGTCACAGTTCACAACCTGGGGCACTGTCTCTCTCTCAGCACTTTCGCATCCCAGCTGCATGTGTGCATGCTTGGAGTAGTGCTGACATGCCAGCCCCTTGGCCCCCTTTGGACTGTGGAGGCTGACAAGCATGGGAAGGAGGCTGAAGTGGGGCTGAGGACAGCTTGGCACTGGCCTGCAGGTACTCCTTGGCATGAATAACGTGGGTGCCATGAACAATGACAGGAGGCAAACAGGCTCTTGGGTGGAAGGGAGCAGGTTTCCAATGAAGCCCCACCTGCAAGCTGGGGTGGGGCTGAAGCCTAGGGGGTGGGCCGCCAGTCTTCAGGGAGGAGATACCCTCTGTGCTGAGAGCTGAAGAGACAACGGGATGACCTGCCTGCAGAGAGGAGCTGCCCTCTCTGCTGAGAGCTCAGTACTCAACAGGACACCCTGGCTATGGAGAGGAGCTACCCACTGCGGGTCTCCTCTGAGCTGTCTTATCTCTCGGTAAAGCTCCTCTTCATCTTGTTCACCTTCCACTTGTCTGCATATATCATTCTTCCTGGTCTCAGGACAAGAACTGGAGACCTGCTGAATGGCGGAGCTAAAATAGCTATAACACAAACAGCGCTGAAACATGCCCCTTGTTTGTCACATTGCAAGCAATGAGAAGAGAGAAGAGAAGAGCTGTGGCTCTTCAGGGAGCCCAGACCTAGGAACTCCGAGCCAGGGCTGTGACACCCTCTTTAGGGCTCTGTGGGTTCCTGGCATCTTCAGGGTTCTGGGCACCACCACATTCCCTGGTGTCAGCCGTGGAAGCTGCTTATGGTATGCCTGGTCTAGCTGCAGCCTTGCATGGAGCTGGCACCCGTGCCAGTGCCTGAAGCTGCCTGCCCATCGCCTATCCCCCCTCAGCCGGCATGCCTGGCTGTGTGCAGTGGCCGGACCCCATGCTTGCTCACACACCCCTTGCTCCTCCGTGCCTGGCTTACCCTTGGCAGACAAGCGATCCAGGCTCATAGTGGGAACTGAGCACAGCCTGCCAGGCCGAGTGGGTGGAACAAGACCAGAGATCCAGAGCAAAACTCTGGAAAAGGCGCCACTGGCCATAGAGGCTTTTGGCTGATGAAGTAATACCTCAAGGATCCCGTAGCAATACCAGATGGAAATCTGGATCCACACAAAGAAATGGTCTACACCAGAAATAGTAACATCGTGTATCTATACCAGAAATAGTAACAACATGGATATATACTTTATATTATTTAAACTTCTCTAAAAGATAATTGTTTAGGAAATAAAGTAATATGCAGTTTATAATATATGTAAAAGTAAAATGGATGACAATAAGAGCTTAAAGACTAAAAGGGGGGAAGTTTACTATTCTCAGATTCTTAAACTGTACATGATGTGATCTACTGTCACCTGAAGGTCAGCCGTGATCAGTTAAAGGTGTACACTGTAAACCCTGGAGCCACCACTAAGATAACAAACCAAAAGATTACAGCTATTAAACTAACAAAGGAGATCAAATGGAATCATAAAAATATATTGGGTAAATCCAAAAGAAGACAGAAAAAGATGTAAAAGAGAATAAAGGACAGATGTGATGAGTAGAAAACAATAGCAAGATAAGAGACTCAACCATATTAGGAATTACATTACATTTAAATTGATTTAGAAGACAGGTTGTCAGATTGGATTTTTTTAAAAGCTGGTTGTATTTTGCTTACAAGAAATGTACTTTATTTATTTACTTATTTTTGGAGATGGAGTTTTGTTCTTGTTGCCCAGGCTGGAGTGCAATGGAGTGGAACAGTGCGATCTCACTGCAACCTCTGCCTCCCGGGTTCAAGCGATTCTCCTGCCTCAGCCTCCCAAATAGCTAGGAATACAGGCCCCTGCCACCACACCCAGCTAATTTTTGTATTTTTAGTAGAGACGGAGTTTCACCATCTTGGCCAGGCTGGTCTCATACTCCTGAAATCAGGTGATCCACCTGCCTTGGCCTCCCAAAGTACTGGGATTACAGGTGTGAGCCACCACACCTGGCCAAGAAATGTAGTTTAAATATAAAGATGCAAATAGGTTAGATGTAAGAGGATGGAAAAAGATATACCATGCCAAGACTAGTCAAAAGAAAGCTGAGGTGGCTATACGAATGCCAAAATAGACTTCAGAGCAAAGACTATTACCAGGGATTAAAGAGATTATTTCTTACTGATAATGTGGTTAGTTAATGAAGAAGACATAACAAACTTACGTCTTTTTGTACCTAACAAAAAAAGCTTCAAAATGTATGAAGAAAAGTAATAAAACAATAAGTAGAGATAGAGATAACCATCAGAGATTTTAATCCCACTCTCAACACTTCATAGAATAAATAGGCAATAAATCAGCAAGAATGTATTGGACTTGAACAACACCATCAACCAACTTGACCTGATTTATATTTATAGAATACTCCACCCTATAAAAGCAAAATACACATTTTCTCAACTGTGCACGGAAGATTTATGGAGATAGACCACATTATAGCCCATTAAAAACCTCAATAAATAAAAAAGTATTCAACTACAAAGTATGTTCTCAGGCCACAATGGAATAAAATTAAAAACCAGTAACAGAAAGATCCTTTAAATATCCCCAAATATTTGGAAATTAACTCACTTCTAAATAACTCATAGGACAAAGAAGAAATCTAAAGGAATATTAGAAAGTTATTTGAAGTTATTGGAAATAGAAAAACAACAAAGAATTTGTCGGTTGTCACTGAAGCAGTACCTGAAGGGAAATTTATGATATTACTGTATTAGAAAAGAATAAGGGTCTCAGATCAGCAACCTCAGTTTCTAATTGAAGAATATCGCCCAGGCGCAGTGGCTCACGCCTGTAATCCTAACACTTGGGGAAGGTCGAGGTAGACAGATCACCTGAGGTTGGGAGTTCGAGACCAGCCTACCCAACATGGTGAAACTCCATCTCTACTAAAAATACAAAAATTAGCTGGGTATGGTGGCTGGCACCTGTAATCCCAGCTACTTGGGAGGCTGAGGCAGGAGAGTCACTTGAACCCAGGAGGTGGTGGTTGCAGTGAGCCGAGATTGTGCCAC
This sequence comes from Homo sapiens, assembly GCF_000001405.40. Classification (NCBI taxonomy): domain Eukaryota; kingdom Metazoa; phylum Chordata; class Mammalia; order Primates; family Hominidae; genus Homo; species Homo sapiens. Next base: position 62,911,659 of record NC_000009.12, read on the forward strand.
TGCACTCCAGCCTGGGCAACAGAGCAAGATTCTGTCTCAAAATATATATGAGGAAGAGCAAATTAAATCTAAAGTAACCAAAAGAAAGGGAATAATAAAGATCAAAATGGGAATCAATGAAATAAAAAAAGGAAAAAAAATCAATGAATCCAAAAACGTGTTCTTTGGGAAAGATCAATGAAAACGACAAATCTCCAGCTGGATTGATTGGGAAAAAAGAGAAAATTATGAATATAAAAAGGGGATGACTGACATCACTAAAGATCTGGCAGAGGTAGTGCTCATCAGGATTCTCCACTGCAGTTTCTCTTTTTCCCCCTCTTCCATACCGTCCTCTTTGGAGAATAAGTCACTGTGTGCAGCCCACACATAAGGAGTGGGGAGTTATTCTCGCTCTCCTTTGGGATGGAATATATAACATAATTCATTTGAAATCCTGCATGGGAAATTTATCTCCTTTCCCTCATTCATTAACTTATTTAATCATTTATTTATATCAGTATGCACTCAAGAATATTTATTTTATCTAATACTGCTCTATTTTGTTGCCCTTTACACACATGGACTCTTCCGTATTGCCACAGGTGCCATCAGGTCTCCAGCCTTTGCACATGCTGTTTCCTCTCTGGGATTCCCACATGCCGGGCATTAGGTCAAGCTCCACGGGACTCCCTGAGATGGATCAGACATAGATCCCACCATGAATACCTCACAGTCCGGCTGGGAAGATGAGACAGGGACCTAACTATTTATAGAACAGAGTCACCAGCTTATAGGTACAAAGGAAGGGCATGGACAGCACAGGACACACCTGTCTACTGCTAGAGGTGTCAGGGGCAGCTTCTGAAGTTGGTGGGTCTCATGGGGCTCACTGCAGAGGTGTGACCACAGAAAATAGAAAGGAGGCATTCCATGCAGAAGGAAGCTAGAGTGACAGGAGCACACAGTATAGAGGTAGGGAGCATGGTAGGGGACTGAAGACTCGGACCAGCCCCCCATTGGTACATTTTGTGCTAGGTCTCCACACTCAAACATCCTGCAGCTCAGCTCCAACGACTGAAAATTCTGCTAATGAGAATTTCTCTTCTGCGAGCTTTAGGCCTTGGCTGGTTGGGCCAGTGGCTGCCTCTTATGTCCCCCACCAGTCGAAGCTCAGTTCCACAGGAAGAGCTTTGTGTTTTGCTCTAAGTAGCAAGGAATCCACTTGTGGGGAGTCCAACAGGGAGTGAGTGAAGGACTTACATTCCATGGGAGGCCTCTGGCTGTGGGCACAGAAGGGGCTCTGGGCTAAAGAAGGAAGCTGGGAGCCCCTCAAGTAGCAGAAGGACATTGGGGTCATCCCTGAGAGAGGAGACCTAGTGAGAATGAAGTGATGGCAGGGTAAGGTGGGGTGGGAAGGGGAGGGACAGGCGCAGATAGGGAGAGGAGGGAGTAATAGGGTAAGGGAGATGAAGAGAAGGGCAAGGAGGGGAGGGAGTAGATAAGGGACAAGGAGGGAGGAAAAGAGAGGAGAGGAAGACGAGGAAGTGGGAGGGTGAAGATAGGGAAGGGGATGGCCCAGAGGTATTCATTTGAAACAGCCCCAGCAGGACTGATTGTAGCAGTGGCTGTCCAGTGAGAGAGAAAGGAAAGAATCAAGAACAAATTCTAGATTTTTGACGTGGGAAACTGGGAGAAGTTGGGGACTTTTCCCATCTCAGTGCTTTTCACTGAGAGAAGAAAAGGAAGAGTCATATTTGAGTGTGAAAACGAGAGTCGCCTTTGAGATCTATTAAGTTTAATATGCTTCATTAGGAAGCTCCCTCATTTCCCCCGTAGCATCAACATTCTTTCTAAAACATTTGGAAAGTATTATGATTTTTATTGTAGAGTCCCCCGACCCCAACAATTTTCTTTACTTTTTTCCTATTCATTGGTCATGGAAGTTGCTTCCAATTTTCAGCTATTGTGAATAATGGGCTCTTTAAAGCATAGAACAGAGCTGGTTTGCAACGAACATTCTGTACACAGGTCTTTGTCAGCATCTCTGAATATTATATTCCTAAAAATTCCCAGAGGTACGATTTGTAGGTCAAAGGCTGTAAACATTTTACAGCTTCTTAATACATATTGCCAAATGATGCTGCAAAAAATGGCACCATGTACATTTTTCAAGAGAAGCATCAAAGGATCTCACTGGTCCTCGCCACCTGGACTATTGTAATGGTCCTGAATTGTTGCTAATTAGATGTGCAGAAAATACTATTTTATGTTCATATCTGGATAAAGTACCCATGAGGGTTTTGACTAATGTATAGAGGAGAAGAATCCTTTTTAAGGATTTAGATGTGATTTTACTGAGTTGCAGATGTCTTCTTCCCCACAGTACCTTGGGGGACTGAATACAGGTGTGGAGGCCACCCAGCTTGTGTCTGTGTTTACTGTCCTTCTCTGATTGGAAGCCTCCCCATCTTATTCCATTATACTTTGCTACTGTTCTCCCACTTAGCTGACCTGTCACCTCTTGCCCGAGAGTCTCAGGGTTAGTAATGGATTTCATGACTGCACACTTTAGTAATGAAGAACTCCATTATCACCGGAAGGGGAGTGATCCTTCTGTGGTGTCTGAGCCAAGACAGGACAACATGGAAGCCCAGCACGTCAAGGTCCAGGAGCGTGTTCAGTGGCTGGGCCTGGGGGCAGGAGGAAGAAAAGAGACAGATGCAGGGAGAGCCCCCCCATCCTGCCCCCACCATGATTACTCATCCTTCTTTGTAGTTACATTACTTCATTGTATTACCTGGAAATAACCTGTCTCCTTGGTTAATGGTCTATTCTTTGGGAGACAGCTTTAGAGGCTGGCAGACCTAAATTCTAATCCTTCTACCTGATGTTGGGCAAGTCACTTGTGGCTTTGGAGCCTCAGTTCCTAATCCGAAGTGAATCTCACAGTGGCCACCTCCCAGGGATGCTGTGCTAGATGAACTGCCTGAGTTGGGTAGCTGGGCCAGGCTCTAGGTCACGGTGAGATGCTGCAGCTGTGGCTGTACCCTGTTAGTGCTGGGTCTGGAATCCCAGCCTCCAATACAGCTGTGATTAAAGAATGCCTGGAAGGAGCAATGCAGGAGGAAGGAGAAGGATGAGAAGTTCGAGGTTAGCATCAGATGACTGGGGACTTGGCTTTCCTCTGGCTACTTCCCAGCTACTTTGGGCTCTGACACCTCTGGCCGGCCACACACACACCCTGAGCACTCACCATCTCCCGGAACTCAGTAGCCTGATGGCCCAGGATGACTGAGTGCCGGCAGATCTGGCAGGAACAGCTTGTGAATGGCATGGGTGGCCAGGGTCTCTGCCTGATAAAGGGAATGTTCTTCCCTCAGGAAAGCGGCCCAGGTGTCCTGGAGCAAAGGACTATACTGGAATAGGTTGGTGCCTGCAGCCTAGAGCTTGGACAGTTTCGGCAGCCAAATGAATCCTGGGGTTCCCAGTATTTGGGAAGAGGTTAAGGTATGTGGGAAGAGGCCAAAAACATAAGGAACCTCCCCGTGGCGTCAGGGTCCTGCTCCACACAGACAGAATCTGAGACGCCCTCCCCGGGGCACCTGGTTCTTCTCCAGTCCCTTGTCACCTCCCAAGCGGGCCTCGGAAAAGGCAGGTCTGAGGATGCGCACCGACGCGGGACCTAGTGCAGGCTGGTGGAGCCCCCTCCGCGGTCCTCTGAGTACAGCTGCCGGTCCCCACCTCTGAGGCAGAACTTGAGGAAAATGGGGTCAAATGGAAGGTACTGGTATCGGGACACACGCGGGGAGGCCTCCAAACACCCTTTCAAGATGGTTCGTGTTGACCCCGATAGGTCTCGTGTTGGAGGGGCAGGCACTGGGGGTTGCTGGTCGACCCGCATGTTGCCCCACCACAGAGCATCCAGGGCTAAGAGCGCGACAAGAGCCTCCTCCGACCTTAAGCTGTAGGTCCAAGCTCCCACGAACAGATGGGGAGCGAATGCTTTGCTAGCAGGCGGAACAATCCTGCTAACGCTAGGGACATCCTGGAACTCGACGCTGGTGCACAGCGGCCACTTCTCTCTCTCGCGGGAGCTCCAGAGAACAAGTGCAATACGTAACATCGGCCGCCAGGTGGAGCCCGACAACGGCGCAAATGGCAGTAGTCCATGTCGGATCGCTTCTCAGACCTGAGTGGGTGGAGCGCGTCTGGCTCCTCTCCGAGCTCCGGGTCAGCACGACGCGTCCCCAGCAGCATAAGGGAAGGCTGACTGCTGGGAAGAGTACAGACTCTCCCTACCTGATTCCCAGTCTGGCCCGTGGAAAATGTAACCGCGAGCCTGCGGGCCGGGCGCCCTGCCAGGCCGGGCTTTCCAGAGCCGCGCAAGCGGACTTAGAAAATACCGTGCCCTCAGGTATGGGATGAAAAACTGCAACCATGAAAGCTTTGTTGAAAACACTTTAATTCTAAAATTTCTGAACAGAGAAGATCTTTAAAGCATAGAACAGAGCCCGTCACGGTTGTTCACGCCTGTAATCCTAGCGACTTGGGAGGCTGAGGCGAGAGGATCGCTTGAGGCTAGCAGTTTGAGACCAGCCTGGGCAACACAAATAGACCGCTGTCTCTTAAAATAAAAATAAAAAGGCATGTATACAACAAAGACAACTCGAAAGCCATCAAGGACACGATTGATTAACTTGATAGCATAAAGTTTAAAGAAAATTTATCTGTGCACGTACCAGGACAAAGTCAAATGACAACAAATGGGTGTGGGGAACATCGGTGCAAATACATGTGTGATAAGAATACTGATTTCACCATTACTTCTAATAACAAAAAATAAAGAAAACATAGCCATTCAGAGGAGCCAGGTTTAAAAAATTCTGGTACATCTATACAGTACCGTTAATTTATGTTTTGGTTTATTTCTTCAGGGCGGGAGACTTACATGTAGTAACATGGAAAAATGTCCATGATGAAACAGTAAATGAAAATAGCAAATTCATGAGAATGCAAATTAGAATCATACTGCGATACCATGAATGCCTTAGACAAAATAGTCTTCAAAAGTGAAGGAGAATTAAACACTTTTTTTTTTCTTTCTGAGATGGAGTCTCACTCTGTCACCCAGGCTGGGGTGCAGAGTGCAATGGCGTGATCTTGGCTCACTGCAACCTCCGCCTCCCAGGTTCAAGTGATTCTTCTGCCTCAGCCTCCTGAGTAGCTGGGATTACAGGCACACACCACCAGGCCCAGCTAATTTTTGTATTTTTAGTAGAGGTGGGTTTTCACCATGTTGGCCAGGCCGGTCTTGATCTCCTGACCTCAAGTGATCCACCTGCCTTGGCCTCCCAAAGTGCTGGGATTACAGGTGTGAGCTACTGTGCCTGGCAGAGACTTTTGTAGAAAACAAAAATTGAGGCAATTTGTTGCTGGTGGACCTGCATGCAAGAAATGTTGGAATAAGTTAAAAGAAGTTCTTAAGAGAAAAGTAAGACATTTGGATCTACATAAAGGAAGAATATAAAAAATGAATATATGAATGTGAAGTAAAAACTTTGCATTTTCTTATTTTCAATTGATATAGCAGCTAATAAATAATTTGTTCAAAATAATGATAGCAATAGTTATTAGATGTTTATAATTTATTGATAAGTTAAATGAATAATAGCAATGATATAAACTAGGAGGGAAGAGTTAGAAATATTTTGTTATTATAAAATACTTGCACTACTCATAAAGCAATATAGTATTACTTGAAAGTAGACTTGTACTAATGGTAAATGTACATTCCAAAATCTAGGGCAACCAATAGAAAGGTTTTTTAACAGTAAAAAGAAAGGAAGAATTTACATGCTTAAATGGGAGAGAAAATGGAACCATATAAAATGCTCAGTTAAAACCACAAAAGGCAGGAAAAGAGTGGAAGGCAAAAATAGGAAGAAAAAAACAGGACAACAAATAGAGAATAATAACAGACATGATAAATACCAATCTAACTGCATCTGTAATCACCTTTAATGTCAATGCTCTACATACACCAATTAAAGACTGAGTTCATCTGAGTTGATCCCCCACAAAAAAGACCCAACTATACATTGTTTACAAGAAACTCACTTTAAATGCAAAGACATATAGTTTTGAAGTAGGAAATGGAAAAAGATATACAAGGTTAACAATAATTAAAAGAAAGCTGAAGCAGCTATATTAGTTTTCAGACAGAGTAGACTTCGGAGAGAAAAGATAATTCTGGATGAATATAGGCACTGCTTGATAACAAAAAGTGAATTATCTGAGAAAATGTAACAATTCTTAATGTGTGTGCACCTAACAAGAGTGGTAAAATATGTGAGGCAAAAAACTGATAGAACTGCAAGGATAAATAAAAGAATTCACAATCATAGTTGTAAACATCAACACCCTCTATCAGAAATGGAGAGATCCAATAGATAGAAAATCAATAAAATATGGTAGAACTAAACAGCATCATCAAACAACTGGAAGTAATTAACATCTATAGCCTACTTAGTGTAATGACAGCAGAATACATATTCTTTTCACTCTCACATGGAGCATTCACCAAGATAGGCCACATTCTGGGCCATAAAGCCCACCTTAACACATTTCAAAGTATAAAAACCATGCCATACCTGCTCTCCGAAAACACTGGAAACTATTATACAAACCAGTAATAGAATGATAGCTGGGCAATCTCAAAATACTTGGATATTCAGAAATACACGTCTAAATAACATAAGGGTCAAGAAGAAATCTCAACAGAAATTAAAATTATTCTTTGAACTACATGAAAACAAAAATACAACTAATGTCTCCAAGAGTTTCTTACTTCCCCTATGGGAATGTCTGTATTTCCTACAGAGATCAGTCAAAGCTGGACAGGGAGCCTCCAGGAAGGGTCTCTGACATGGCTACAGTTTTGCGTGGGGCACAGTTGCATACAGCACTCCCTAAAACGTTTCTCTTTCCCAATTAGCTAGCTGAGACATTCCCTAACTAGTCATGGAGGCCAGGGTGGGCATCCCTTCCACCTGGTGGACTGAGTGGGGATTGGTCATAGGAGGCACCCTGCAAAATTTATCTAAACCCCTCTCTGGAGGCCAGGACAAATCTGAATGGACCATGGAACTGGGGAGAGCCTGGGTGGGAGCCAGTGGTCAGGAAGGCTTTGGGGGCTGCTCAGATGGGGCCAGGTGTGAAGGCCTGAGAAGGGTACCTTGTTGCATGGGTCTGGTTGGCCCGATGAGTCTCCAGAAAGTTTCTTAAGACCCCTGGTTGGGGGTGGGGGACTGCATCTGGCTAGAAAGTGAAGGCCCCAGGGATGGGTTTGGTGCCCTACTTTCCACTCCAGTCCAAAGCAGTGCCTGTCATCAGAGGCACCAGAAAATATGTTCTAAGTACTCCCTGTTTGTGGGCACCAGGTAAGGATGCCCAGTAAGGCCTGGGAAGGCCTTGTGAATCCGGTCACAGTTCTTCCTGGCCTTGTCTATGGCGTGCAAATTCTTTGAATGTTTGCAAGTCCCTCTCTGGAGGAGCAGCAAAGGCCTGAGTGGCTGAGGAGGCCTATTATTTTTATTTATATTATTGTATATGAAATTATTACTTATGTTATTTTTGTTATTATAAAAAGATGTAAAGTGTGACATCAAAAACATCAAACATGGGAGAAAAGGAAGTTAGAGTGAAAAGTTTGTGTATGCAACCAAAATTAACTGTTATCAGCTTAAATTAACCTGTTATAAGTATAACATGTTTTATGTAAGCCACAGGGTAGTCACAAAGCAAAACCTGTAATGGATACACAAAAGATAAAAGGAAAAGAACCAAAACATACTACTACAGAGAGCCATGAAGCCACAAGAGAAGAAAGCAAGAGAAGAAGAAGGGACCAAAGGCTCTACAAAGCAACTAGAAAACACTTTAACAATGGCAAGAGTAAGTTCATACGTGTCAATAATAACCTAGAATGTAAATGGATTAAATTCTGCAGTTAAAAGATACATAGTGGCTAAATGAGGTATTTTTTTAAAGACCCAGCTATATGCTGCCGACAAAAGACTCACCTCACCCGTAAGGACACATGAAGATATTCCATACAAATGGAAAGCAAAAGAAAGCAGCAGTAGTTGTACTTTTATCAGATAAAATAGACTTCACATTAGAAATCCTAAAAAGAGACAAAGGAGATTATTATATAATGATAAAAGGATCAATTCAGCAAGAAGGTATAACAATTATGAGTATACACCCACCCAACACCAGAGCAAATACTAGATCTAAAGGGAGAGACAGACTGCATTTCAATAATAGGAGACTTCAACACCCTACTTTCAGCACCGAACAGATCATCCAAAGAGAAAATCAGCAAAGGAACATTGGACTTAAACTACACTCTAGAGCAAATAAACCTAACTTTTACAGAAAATGTCATTCAACAGCTGGAGAACGTGTATATATTCTTCTCATGAGCACATGGAGCATTCTTCAGCATAGACCATATGTTAGGCCACAAAACAAGTCTCAACACATTTTTAAAAATTAAAATCACATCAAGTATCTTTTTTGACCACAATGGAATAAAACTAGAAATCAATAACAAGAGGAACTTTGGAAAATGCACCAATACAACATGCTCCTGAACAACCAATGGGTAAATAACGAAATTAAAAAGAATATTTAAGAATTTCTTAAAACAAATAAAAATAGAAACACAACATACCAAAATTTATGTTATATATCAAAAGCAGCAGCAGTACTAAGAGGGGTAGTTTATAGAAATAAATGCCTATATAAAAAGGTAGAAAGATTTCAAATATAATGATGCACCTCATGAAACTAGAAAAGCAAGAATAAATCAAACCCAAAATTACAGGAAGAAGAAATACTAAAGATCACAACAAAAATAAATAAAATTGAGACTAAAAATATGAAAGATCAACCAAATGAAAATATTGTTTTGAAAAGGTAGACAAAATCAACAAATCTTTAGGTAGACTAATGAAAAGAAAAACTCAATGGAATAGAATCAGAGATAAAAAGGAGATATTACAACTGATAAAACAGAAATACAAAAGGTCATTACAGACCATTATGAACAATTTACATCAACAAATTGAAAACTTATAAAATAGATATATTCTTGGACACATATAACCTACCAAGATTGAACCATGAAGAAACAGGAAACCTGAATAGAACAATAATGAATAATGTGATTGAATCAGTAATAAAAAGTCTAACAAAGAAAAGTCTAGGACCATATGGCTTTACAGATGAATCCTACCTAACTTTTAAAGATAAGCTAATGCCAATTATTCTCAAACTATTTTGAAAAATCAAAGGGGAGAGAATGCTTCCAAATCTTTTTTAAGGCCAGCATTACCCTGATACCAAAACCAGACAAGGACACAACAAAAAAAACTATAGGCCAATATTTTTAATGAGCATAAATGCAAAACTCTTTTAAAAAAAAACCCTAGAAAACAAAATCCAACAGCACAGAAAAAAGATTATACACCATGATCAGGTGGTATTTTCCCCCAGGGATGCAAGGATGCTTCAACCTACAAATATCAATAAATGTGATACATCACATACATCACATCAAGAGAATAAAGAACAAAACCTTGTGATTATCTCAATAGACACAGAAGTAGTGTTTGATAAAATTCAACTCCTCTTTGTGATTAAAAAAAAACCCTCTCAACAAATTAGGTATAGAAAGAACATACCTTAAAACATTAATGTTCATATATGATAAACCCACGGTTAACATCGTACTGAATAGGGAAAAGTTGAAAGCCTTTTCTCTAACATAGAACAAGACAAAGATATTCACTTTCCCCTAAGATCCTTTCTCTAAGATCTAGAACAAGACAAGGATATTTACTTTCACCACTTTTATTGAAAAGTGGTCAATCACATCGTTTTCTTTTATTGAAAAGTGGTGAAAGAGTCCTAGACAGAGCTATTAAAAAAGAAATAAAGAGCATTGGAAAAGAGGAAGTCAAATTGTCACTGTTTGCAAATGACATGATCTTATATTTAGGATAAGCTAAAGACTTCACTAAAAAGCTGTTACAACTGGTTAACTATTTCAGCAAAGTGGCAGAATACAAAATCAACATACAAAAACCAGTGGCATTTCCATATGCCAATAGTGAACAATCTGAAAATCAAGGAAGCAATCCCATTCACCATAGCTACAAAAATATAAAATGCCTAGGAATAAATTTAACCAAAGAGGTAAAAGATCTGTACAATAAAAACTGTAAAACACTGATAAAAGAAATTGAAGAGGACACAAAAAATAAAAAAACTCATATTCATGAATTAGAAAAATTAATATTGTTAAAATGTCCATACTACCCAATGTTAACTATAGACTCAAGACAATTCCTATCAAGTGACATTCTTCACAGATATAGAAAAAGCAAGCCTAAAATTCATGTGAAATCACAAAAAAGCCTGAGTATACAAAGCAACCCTGAACAAAAAGAACAAAGCTGGAGACATCACACTATCTGACTTCAAAATATACTACAAAGCTGCAGTGATAAAAAATAAAAAGCATGTTTATGGCATAAAAACAGACATATACACCAAAGGAACGAAATAGAGAACACAGAAACAAATCCATGTATTTATAGCCAACTGATTTTCATCAAAGGCCCTAAGAACATACACTGGGGAAAGAACAGTATCTTTAATAAATGGTGCTGGGAAAACTGAGTAACCATATGCAGAAGAGTGGAGCTTGACCCTGATCTCTCACCATATACAAAAATCAACTTAAAATGGATTACAGAGTTAAATGTAAGCCTCAAAACTGTGAACCTACTAGAACAAAACTTAGGTAAAATCCTTCAGGACATTGGTCCGAGCAAAGATTTATTGAGTAAGACCTCAAAAGCACAGGAAACCACAGCAAAAATTGACAAATGGGATTACATCGAATGAAAAACCTTCTGCACAGGAAAGGAAAAAATCAACAACGTGAAGAGACAACCTACAGAATGGGAGAAAATATTTGCAAAGTATTCATCGGATAAGGGATTAATAATCAGAATACACCATGATGCTCAAACAACTCAATAGCAAAAAAAAAAAAAACACAACAACAAATACTCTGATTTTGAAAGGGGCAAAAGATCTGAATAGACATATTTCTCAAAAGAAGAAAATCAAATGGCCAACACATAAATGAAAAAATGCTCAACATGATTGATGATCACAGAAATGCAAATCAAAATCACAATGAGATATCCTTGCACCCCAGTTAAAGTGGCTATTATCAAAAAGACAGAAAATGACAAATGATAAGGAGGATGTGGAGAAAGGGAAGTGCTCATACACTGCTGGTAGGAATGTAAATTCGTACAGCTACTGGAAATCTCCACACTGAAAAGCACTGTGGAGATTTGTCAATAAAACTAACCATAGAACTACCATATGATCCAGCAATCCCACTAGTTGGTATATGGCCAAAAGATAAGAACTCAGTGTATCAAAGAGATATCTGCATTCCCATGTTTATTGCAGCAGCACTATTCACAATAGCCAAAATATGGAATCAACCTAAGTATCCATCAATGAATGAATGGGTAAAGGAAATATGGTATATATACACAATGGAATATTATTCAGCCAGAAGAAAGAATGAAATTCTGTCATTTGTAGCAACATAGATGGAATTGGAGGACATTATGTTAAGTGAAATAAGCCAGATACAGGAAGACAAATATCATGCTTTTACTCATATGTGTGGGCTAAAAAAATGGGAGGTAGTGAACAGAATGGTGTTTAGCAAAAACTGGGAAGGGTAGTGGGAGGAGGGCATGAAAAGGGGTTGGTTAATGGATATAAAATACAGTTAGATAGATAGAAGGAGTAAGATCTAGTGTTTGGTAGCACAATAGGGCAACTATAGTTAACAGTAATTTATTTTGTATTTCACAACGTTCTCAACACAAGAAAACAATAAATGTTTGAGGTAATGAATATCCCAGTTACCCATATCTGATCATTACACACTGTATGCTTGTATCAAAATATCACAGGTACTCTATAAATATGTACAACTATTATGTTTTCATAAAAATTAAAAATAAAAACTAGACTATTAATTGTTCTACTTTGTGGACATAAAATATCTTTCCATTTATTTGTGTTTTCTTCCATTTTCTTTCATCAGTGTTTTATAGTTTTCAGTGTACAGTTCTTTCACCTCCTTGGTTAAATTTACACCTAAGTATTTTATAAGTTTTTTGTTGCTATTGTAATTGGATTGCATTCTTTTTTTTTTTTTCTGCCTCCCAGGTTCAAGCGATTCTCCTGCTTCAGGCTCCCGAGTAGCTGGGATTACAGGCACCCGCCATCATGCCCGGCTAATTTTTTTTGTATTTTTTAGTAGAGACAGGGTTTCACCATGTTGATCAGGCTGGTCACTCTAATTCCTGACCTCAGGTGATCTGCCCACCTCGGCCTCCCAAAGTGCTGGGATTACAGGCGTGACCGCCGTGCCCAGCCGGGATTGTATTCTTAATTTCCATTTTGGATAGCTCACTATCAGTTTATAGAAATGGTAAATCACCCTTTGTGGATAAAGCATGGGTACTCAGCAATTAGGAATAAACCCTTCAGCTAATGTCTAAGTTGCTTTCATTGTTACTTTATCTGTTTGATTTCTTGTCTAAAGTTTGATAATGGCAACTAACCCATTTTTAAGAGAAATTAAAATGGATAACATGCATGTGATATTCTGTGAAAATTGCATGACTTCTTTTAATTAATTTAAGGAAACTATAGATGTGTAGTTAGGGCTTTAAACCAAACTGGTGCAATTTATTTTCTGCTAAATTACAAAGTTATTTGATTGAACTGACAAGTAATATTGCTTTGTTTTATTTTTAATTCGTTACTGTGCAAATTCACATTTGGGGAATGGAAGATTATATAGGAAACCTTGAACCACCTTTAAATAACTATATTTTTATTTATTAAGCCACAAACAGTTTAGTTATGTTGTTATGAGCAAATATATTTACTATTTTTTCTCTGCAATAGGAATAGAGATTTCTTTTGCTCTTCTATCTCAACTGAAAAGCATATGTTTTCTGGATCACTGCCATTGGCTCCTTCCATAGTATTTAATAAATATATGCATTTCATAGTGTTAGGCTTGTATAAATACACTACTAACTTCTCTTCACTATAAATGAACTTGAGCAACTCTCATATCTACAATTTCTAGCACCAGAAAAGTGACATTTTCCTTTAAGATGGGGAATAGGCCTTTTGAGGTCATGGTGGAGTCATATACTCCCTTTTATGACAATTATTAGCACCACGTGAGGGCAGAGAGGAATGTAAAAAAAGTATCATTTCAAGTTACTAAGCTACAACCTGCCACCACTGATGGCATGTCCACTTACAGCTCACGAGCCAGCTCTTCATCAATAAGTGCTGCTTTGCAGTGGTTTGTAATTGAATTGTATGATGTAAATGTGGAGACAGCCAATCATGATGTTACAGGATCTTTGGGGTGTCGATTTTCTTGCCCAGAAACCTCTGTGGACAGTGGCATCTTTGCCTGAGTTCTTGTCCTGCATCCAGGAGGAATGAGGTACGCAGACAAAGGAATGGCGAAGAAGATTAAGAGGAGTTTTATTTAGTGTTAGAACAGCTCAGAGAAGACCCACAGTGGGTAGCTCCTCTCTGCAGGCAGGTCGTCCGGTGGAGTGTTCAGCTTTCAGCAGAGAGGAGGCCCTGGCGAGTGTGGCTCCTCTCTGCAGGCTGGTCATTTGGAGGTCTCTGCAGGTCTCTGAAGCTCTCAGTAGAGGGGAGAGTTCGTCTCTGCAGCTGGTCATCCCATCGTCTCTCTGTCCTCTGCCCTCTCTGGCAGAGCCCAGGGCTTTTATGGACCTCAGAAAGGAAGAAGTACCTGCCAACTGGTCCATGAGCAGCCATTGGCGGCCCAGAGGAGGGACAGATCCCCAGTCCTGTCCACAGGATTGGCAGTCTGGCTCCCAGCCTTCAGGCCCTCCCCGGCTTGAAGGTGGGGCTTTACTGGGGACCCATCCGCTTCTGCCCAGGACTCTCCCTCCCCCTGCCATTCAAGTCCCCAGGGCTCGACCAACCCTGTTGGGAGATTAAAGAGGGTGCCAGAAGAGGAGAGAGGCCAGGCAGTGAGAGCAGACATCCCGGAGCCAGCAGGGGGTGGCGGGTGCAGGCTGCCAAGATGCCAGGGTCCTGTGCCTGGGAGGGTGGCCTTAGTTGCACCCAGGGAGCTCCCACCCAGCCAACTCAGAAGGGGCGGGGCTTCTGCTTGTCTCCGTCTCCTGCCTGCTCCATGGAGCCGGAAGCCCAGGTCTGCAGCAGTGGGTTGGGTGGCTGCAGCTGTACCCAGGAGGGCAGATCCTGTCGGTTCCCAGCCCCCTCCAAGAGCACAGGGAAGCTTGGATCCACAGCTGCAGTTTGGGCTGGGCTACAGCCTGCTCCGTAGAGCAGGAGGCCTGGGTCTGCAGCCGCACCAGGGAACTCATACCCCAACTCAGAAGGGGTGGGGCTCCCACCAGCTTCATGGAGTATGCAGGCCCAGCCATGCCTCCCTGCTGTAGCCCGCATGATGGCTGCAGCTGCTGCCATCAATGAGAGAAAAAAAAGACAAAATTTACCAACATCAGTAATGAGAGAGGTGATCTCACTACATACATTACATATATTAAAAGGCATAATAAGAGATTACAATGCAAAGCTGTATGCCAGTATGTTTGACAGCTTAGAAGTAAAGACAAATTCCTTGAAAGATGTAAACTACTAACACTGCCTCAAGAAGAAATAGACGACATGAATAGTCTATTAATTAGATTGAGTTTATAGTTAAAAACCTTCCCACAAAAAAAATTCCAGGCCCAGATGGCTTCGCTGGAGTTTTCTAGCAAACATTTAAGGAAGAAATAACAAATAAACATAAACTCATTCAGAAAATTGAAGAGGAGAGAATACTTTTGAACTCATTCTACAAGTCCAGCATTATTCTGACACCACATTCAGACAGACATTTTTTTTTCTTTTTTGAGACGGAGTCTCGCTCTGTCACCCAGGCTGGAGTGCAGTGGCGTGATCTTGGCTCACTGCAACCTCCACCTCCTGGGTTCAAGTGATTCTCCTGCCTCAGCCTCCTGAGTAGGTGGGATTACAGGTGCCCCCCACCATGCCCTAATAATTTTTTGTATTTTTAGTAGAGACAGGGTTTCGTCATTTTGGCCAGGCTGGTCTCGACCTCCTGACCTCATGATCCGCCCACCTTGACCTCCCAAAGTGCTGGGATTATGGGCGTGAGCCACCATGCCCAACCTAGACAGACATTTTTAAAAAGTAAAAATACAGTACTTCATGACCACAGATGCAAAAAAATCTTAACAAAGTTTCAAAAAATTGACTTATACCAGTAATTCAAGTTTAGTTTACCATAATAAAATCAACCAAAGCAATTTGGCATAAAGACAAACATTCTGCAAAACAATTTGGCAGTTTCTTAAATGTTAAACAGATATCTACCATATGACATAGCTATTCTTGTCTAGGTATTTACCCAAGAGAAATGAAAGGATATTTTCATATGACCATCTGTGCATAAATGGTCATAGTAGCTTATTTATAACAGATGAAAACTGGACACAATTCAAATGCCCATCTTCAAATGAATGAACACACAAATTGAGCTATATTCACACAACGAGATACTACTCAGCAATAAAAAGGAATGAATTATTGATACATATTACACATTAATGAATTTCAAAATAATTCTGCTGAAAGAAAAAAGCCAGATAAAGAAAAGTAAATACTGTGTGGTTCCATTTATATGACATTCTGGAAAATAGAAACTAATCATGAGAGAGATCAGATCTGTGGTTGCCAGGGATTTGAGGGAAGCAGGGAGGTTATGGGGGAGGGGTTATCAAGAGGGAGGAGAATATTTTGCTGGGGTGATGGATATATTCCTTATTTTAATTGTGATGATAGTTTCATGGTTGTATACATATGTAAAAATTTAACAAGTCCTGCACTTTAAGCATGTGTGTTCATCATATGCCAATAAAGCCTCAATATGGCTGTTAAACAAAAATTACCGAACTGCTAAATATGTGTATCACTCTAGGAAATGAAAGACACCTCTTCAACTGCTTTTGTGTCTTGACTTTTTTCCCAAAGGAAGACCTATATTTTGCTTCATTTCTTTCTACTCTACATTTCTTTTTACTCTGCTTGCATTTAGTTTAAAAGAAAAAGCTCTCTGTTGGTGATTTCTAATCTATTTTAAAGTAAATAATTGTACTGTCCAATTAGAGACTGAGATAACTCATGAATTATCACACAGGTTGTTCTCCTGTACAATATATATGATTTTGAGTACTAATATTACACAGTGAATTCAGAATTGTGTGTATGTACATACATACCATAGTCTTATAAATAACTTCAACTTGCAATAATTAACTTGCAGTTAATTCTTACAGTAGTATGAGTTTGGGCCTCTTAAAAAAAGAACTAAAACCAACTCCCTGCCTGAGAATAGAAACACACACACACACACACACACACACACACACACCAAATTGAATAATCTTGTTTTCTCGCTTACAATTGTGGGCATTCATTTATGGAATTCTTGGCAGCTATGTTAGCATAAAACCCCACCTATAATTATCATTCATATTAGAATAATATTTCACAAATGTGGTCAGTATTGTCTTCTGCAACATTACAGTTAGTTGGTGGAATAAGTTCTAGTGTTGTACAGCACTATAGGGTAACCACAGTAAACAACAGTGTGTTGTCTTTTTTTTCAGATACCTGGGAGAGAGGATTTTTCATGTTACCAACACAAAGAAATGATAAAGGTTTGAGGTCATGGGCATGCTAATTACCCTGATTTGATCATTATACATTTTATACATCTACTGAAATATCCCACTGTACCCCATAAATATGTACAATTATTATGTGTCAAGTAAAATATGAATATATATAGTAAATAAATAAATGAAGTAATTTGCCATTACTTAACATTTCATTAAATGTATGTTTCCAAAATTATATTTGTTCTTGAGACCTTTTGAGTGATCACAGTTTCTGCTATTCTCCATAAGGCCTCAGTTTGACAGGGTGATGAAATCTTGAATAAAACACAAAGGAATGTGTTTGTATTTGCAGTGCTTCCCTTGCAGGTGAAATGGCCACCAGACCCAGGCTTTCTGGAATGCATTCATTTTCTGCAGTTGAAAGGGACAATCCCGGATCTGAAAGAAAGAGCCACAGTGACTCCAAGAGTGGAGCCAGGGCATGCTGGACACTGCATAGCTATGGCCAAGTGTGTCACCTCTGAGGGAGATGTGAGAGAAACGCAGAGGGATCGCTTGTGACTGTGCCTTCTCGATGTATGATGGACTGTTCTGCTCAAATAGTAAGTGTGACCAAGGAGCCGGTGAACATAGGAAACAAAGAATATTTCATTTGACATTATAAGGAATGCGACAATTCTAGTCACTTGAAAGTGAACTATATCTGTCGAGAATTCCTAGTTTTAATTGGGAAGAAATGCGCTTCTCTTCTTGAAAAGCCACAGGTTATTGCTGTTATGTCTAATATCAGTCCTCTCTGGATTTCTCAAAAGATTTTCTGTATATCCTACCATTTTCCTTCTGTTGCTGCAGTTTGGAAGTAGTTTGTTATCAGGATTATCAAAGCATCATTGCTATTTATGACAATGACTTTAAGAAATGCAAGAATATTTGGAACACTGTAGAAAAAATATTTTAGCCTGGAAGGCAAATACTAATTTCAGGAACCATTGATCTGTTATAAAACAGGACCACTCAGACATTTAGCTCTAAGACTTTCACATATCCGTTGTTAGAGGCGTATAGTGGGGGGCATGACTCAGCTTCTGCTTAAGTACAAGGTGTTGTCTGCAGCGAAGGAAGAATTTGATTGTAGTATCAACAGAACCAGACAGAACTCTTTGAATATAATTATATATCTTGGAAACTGACTCATCAAAGCTATTAGATTACATGGCATCATTTAAGCATCACTGGGCTCTGTACTTTTCATTATCTGTACTCTTCATTATGGAGTATAATAGGCTTTATTTGGTACAGAAATTGGGTCTAAGATGAAACAACTTGTGATTTTTGAATAAACTTTTGGGGATTAGTTACTTTGATGTTGTCAAGATAGCACCATAGTAAGTCCTCTGTCTTTCCTCTTGATTTATTTATAATTTAGAATCAGTTTATGATTTTAAAAAATGTGACAGACACAGTGGCATGCACCAGTAGTACCAGCCACATGGGAAACTGAGGCAGAAGGATCACTTGATCCCAGAAGATAGAGACCACCCTGGGCAACATAGTGAGAGCCCCATCTCAAAAAAAAAAAATCAGTTCCCAATACCATTCCAGAACACTTTTAATATAACCAGATGAAATTGTGATCACTACTTTACTGTAATGTTTAAAATGGTCCTCAGTCCATATTTAAGTACAATCTTAGTGTTTCTGTGCAACCTAATATATTAGAAACAAAAATTGTATTGCATTTGAATAGGAAATACTCTGAATTGAGGGTTATTTCTTTTAACAGTTGCAATTAGATTGGTTAGTGACAATTATCTGTAATTTTCAGGCAATGCCTAGGCAAGTGCCCAAGGCACAGTAGCCTCCTCCTTGCCTCCGTGTGTGTGTGTGTGTGTGTGTGTGTGTGTGTGTGTGTAGGGTGGTAACATTTCTGGGAATTTGTCTTAACATAAAATGATACCACCTTTCACAAAACGACCTAGAGGAAGTTGGAAATCCCACTATCCTGGCTTCCTGCTGAGCAATATCTGCTTCTCTTTCTGACTCAGGCTGATGCATCTGTATACTTAGCTTCACTTCTCCAGTAAATAAGGGAGAGCTTTATTATAAAAGACAACTTCTATTGATTTTCAAGGGGGTGGGTGGTTGTCAAGCTCACTCCTTTCTATGCACTGAGGGAAAATTATTGTAAGCGATCTGTAAAACAATAGATGAAAAAAGAGGAGATAAAAATTAAATAAAATTTAAATAAAAACTAGGATCCTAAGTGGAAAAATAGCTTTAAATTAGAAATTGATACCAAAAAATAATGATATGTAATCTAAGGTGAAAATATTTTGAAGACTATCACGATATCTCCCTTAAATGTTATTTAGTTCTGAAAAATATGTATTGAAGAACTGTTATATTTTACTTTATGTCATATTAAGTGTGGTAAAATTAAAGAGAAACAAGTAGATAAAAGTAAAGATTGTATTATTATTTTATCACTCAGGTTATTTCAAGACTGGAGACATTCTTTAAATAAACCTAAATTATGACTCCTTGCACTTAAGTTTTGCTAACATAAAAAGTATGTATGATTTCAGAGATTTCTGCATATTTTGGAATGAGCTCTTCAGTTGCTTGTAATTTCCAAGAAGATTACCCATTTTACCCCTTAACTAAAACCCCTGTTCCTTTACTGCCTTGCTGCTTCACTTCATGGGGATATGTCACTGACCAGAGGAAAGATCACATTGAATTTCTGAGCCACGCTGTTTTGTATGGTTAAAATAAGATGCTCAAAGTATGATTTCACAAATCACATGGTTATTGCCATGCAAGGAGAATTTGTTTTCTTAAGTTCACAATGCTCAAAAAGGAGAAGAATAATGTGAACAAATCTACAGGGAATACACTCAAAAGATGAGGCACATTAACCACAGAGGGAGTGAGTTCCAAATATTAAAGTCTAGTTCCTGAAGTAGAAATGGAAGCAGGCCTCTGTGGAAAGGCAAATCGAATGAAAGTTTGAGGTGCACCTTTTTTTCAAGCGAATTCTCTGGAGAGATGGTGTCTTGACACCATGGAGATCCTCAAAGACACCTGGGGTCCCTTGACACCAGTGGGTGGTGCCAGTGATGCAGGCGAGGCTTCAAAGCTCAGCTGCTGACAGGGTGGGGCTCTGTTGCTGCATGAGTTCAGTCTTCCAAGAATTGACTGGCAGGGCAACCCTGTCACAGAATATGCTCTCCATTTTTGGAGAAGTGGCTGAGACTTACTGAAGTTCTCAAAGTGTTCATCGAGCTCTTATGTTTATATGTATTTTGAAATCCAGTGGTTGAGGTCAGTAACTCACATATGATGGGTCTGATGAGTTTTGACATTGCATTCTTTTTCCCCCCACGAGACGGTGTCTTGCTCTGTCACCCAGGCTGGAGTGCAGTGGCCTGATCTCAGCTCACTGCAACCTCTGCCTCCTGGGTTCAAGTGTTTCTGCTGCCTCAGCCTCCTGAGTAGCTGGGATTATAGGCGCACGCCACCACACCCGGCTAATTTTGTATTTTCAGTAGAGACGGGGTCTACCATGTTGGCCAGGATGGTCTCGAACTGGCTACTCTCAAACTCCTGACCTCATGATCCTCCGTCCTCGGGCACCCAAAGTGCTGGGATTACAGGCAGAAGCCACCGCTCCCGGCAGACATCGCATTCTTGAGGGCTGGAGGGAGTACGGTCTAAGTTCTTGTTACAGCAAAACGTAGCAAACTATGCAAGTCTTTGGAATAATTCCAAAACTACATAATAGACATGAGCTCCAAGCTTACTGATTTATGTGTGTGCCTTCTCTGAGGAATATCTTTTGGTTATCCTTGTGCAACATGGCAAATATTTTTTAAAGTGAATGAGAGTTAATGAGAAAATTAAATTATAAAAATATTATGGCAATGAGGTGGATCATCGCAGTGTTCAAGCTACAGATAAAAATATGACATGCCCTCCAACTTTCATTCTCTTTTATTTTTCAGTAATATTCAAAATATTTATTGCAAAAGTTAGCATTTCAATGATGAAATTAAGATGCCTTTCAGTTCAAGTTTGGCAATTTTACATATTTCATGTGAAACTCTGATTTGAAATGTTGCTGAGGGTCTTTAGTATTGCATATGAATAATAAAAATCAAATTTGCCACATATTGGAATAAGATATACAGTATTTTATATGGCAAATGTTTCTCTTCCTTTTAAGAGAAGAAGAGAAATATTAAGGTGGTTATTACTCAAGTGAATCCTACTTAAAAGTAACTTTCTAATAGTTGAGAAGTCACTTATGCATACCTACGTGAGGAAGAAAGTTGAATTGACTGTCATTCATTCAGCCCAGTGGGACATCAAACTCTCCAAACCTTTCACAGTAGGAAAACAAAGCCAGGCCTCCTTAACTATGCTACATGGCAAGTCAAAACATGAACATAATATCTGAAAAAGCCTGAAAAACAACTCTGGCTAACTAGATCTCATTGCAGGCAGTGAGAGAGTGGTGGCAAATGTGAACATGTCTGTGTGGGGTGGTGGCAGGGGAATTGGAATATACGAATCCAAGGAAAACTGACTCTTGGCAAATTACTTGTTTTGGTGCTCCTCTTCATTTTTTTTATTATGGTAGAAGACTTTGTATACAAATTTCTCACTGTACATAAAACAAGTTCTTCAGTTATTGCATTTCTGCAATATATTAAAATACATGAGAAAATCACATTAAAAAGAGGCATGATTATAGAAACAAAATGTTATTACAATACGATATCAACTTATAATTCATAATTATATTTGTAAATATCAAATTATAAGTAATTTATGAGAAATTAGAGCCAAAGCTTTTCATACTTACTTTAGTGTTTTTCTAAAGGAAATACATGGTGAAAGAACTGTAGAGAAGACATAGCTTATGATTAATCCATTTGTCTTGATACTTAACACAGTATTGGTGGTGCATTGGTTCCAGGACTCCCTGGGGATACCAAAACCCATGGATGCTTGAGTTCCTTATGTAAATGATGAAGTATTTGCATGTAACCCACACTTACACTCTCTCTTTAAATAATCTCTAGATTACTTATAATTCCCAGTGCAATGTAAACACTATATAAATCGTTGTTTTACATACTGTTTTAAAATTTGTGTTATTTTTAATTTTTGAAGATACTTTATCCATGATTGGATGAATCCATGGATGCAAAACCTATGGATAGGAAGGGCTGACTGTAACTGAGCTCAGAGATTCTGGAAAAGCACTTAAGTAATCAATATTCCAGGAAAGGGGACTTAAAAAGTATCCTTGACTCTACATGAGAAGTTTTAAATACAGTTTTTTTTTTCCTTTTTAGGGAGTTTGCAGGTCAGGTACAGGCTAGACTGACATCAAGATTCTGATTCCTTTTACTTTGATTTAAAAAACTTAGCTGATAGCAGTTTCACCATTTTAGAATGAACATGAAAGAAGCAATTGTAGAGGTAACGCATTAATTAAAATTATGACTTTCTAGCATCAATGACTTTACACAAACATTTGATAATAAATGACTGGGAAAAAATGCCCAACCAATGATATACATACATATATATATATGTATGTATAAGTAAGAAGTGAAGTCAAATATAATTACAGCGTTTTGTTTGGTTTTGCTTTTGTTCTTTGCTTTGCTTTTGTTTAACAATGAGAATCTATCCAAGCTATTATTAACATTTGATTACTTAGATGCCAAGTTTTGCTTTTAGTTCATAAGGAAACGTAGTCGATTTTATCACTGGATACTACTGGTAGAAACTTTGAATTGATATTTCGGTGAAAACCTATTTTCATTGAATTGTCAAACCACAAATGCTATATATAATAGCAATTTAGAACAAGAAAAACAACCTGATTTTGATTAAAATGAGGATACATAATGAAAAGTCACCACAAAATAAACTTTACTCTGTTACTGGCTTTTGAAGAAAATCATTTAGATATTAAATCTATAGATAGAACATTTCTCTGCCTCATGTAATATTTTATTCTTAGTTAAAAGTTTTGAGGTATAAAGTAATGCATTGTATTTCTTTGTAGATCCTCCCAGTTATAGATATCCTATGAAGCAAAGTAAATTGGGAAAGGAGATAACAGGTGGAGTGGCAGCTTTTGGCATTCTATAAGTTGGTTAAAAATATTTTCCTCTTAGTATATAAATCTTGGAATTGATCTCTTAATCTTTTTGGTAGCACTAACAGGTGGTTTATTTTATGATTTTTTTCCCTTGGTTTTCCTTTGCTTCCTGTCTTTTTATCACAAAGTTACTCTTCATTTGAATGCTTCTATTGGAACAAATTGCTAGGTTAACAGAATGCAAGGAGACAAGTCATCCTGTCAGGTACAGAATTCATTCAGTGCTGTCAAATTTCTTGTATTGGGGAAAATTTTAGGTAGGTGGAAGAAAAACCTTTCCCTTCACATAACAGATCAAAAGTGTCATGTCACAAGCATGAGAACCATTTGTCATGCTGAAAGAAACTTCTTTTCTTAAGTTTATGAATAATTACATCATGAGTGACAATCAAGATAAAAACTGTACTTTTATCTAAGTGCACATGTAATCATGAGTAAAGTGCTTCCTGAAAGACGAGCAAGAATATTGCTTCAAAAATAATCTTACATTTATCTGTCTCACTTAGCAATCAAGCACAATGAAATGTGTTATTCTTCTAATAATTCAGGCAAGAAAAAATGTGATCAAAGTATGTGTAAAATTCATAGCTTCTGTCTGTGTCTTCATCGGTGGTCAACCCAGAAACTTTCACTTAATGAGACAACTAAGATTAAGTTTGGAATAAAAGAACGGTATGAATTAATTTTAGAATGCTATATTATTTGTCTTCTGACTTATGAACTGTATGAATTAATTTTAAAATGCTATATTATTTGTCTTCTGCCTTCATTTAATTCTTATGGAATTTGAATTTTTCATAAAAAATGGTTCTGAGCAAGTGCTGCAGTGGATACAAGATAACTGGATCCTAGCACTGGCTCTTCCATTTACAAGTTGCACCATAGACTGTGACAAGGTATCTGATATAGTTTGGCTCTTCTCTGTGTCCCCACCCAAATCTCACATTGAATTGTAATCCCCAACGTTGGGGGAGGGAACTGGTGGGAGGTAACTGGACCCTGGGGGAAGATTTCCCCCTTGATATTCTTGTGATAATGAGTTCTCTCAAGATCTAGTTGTTTAAAAGTGTGTAGCACCACCCCCTTCACTCTCTCTCCTGCTGGCCAAGTGAATATGTGCTTGCTTCCTCTTCACCTTATGCCATGATTGTAAGTTTCCTGAGGCCTCCCCAGCCATGCCTCCTGCACAGCGTATGGAACTGAGAGTCAGTTAACCCTCTTTTTAAAAATAAATTGCCCAGTCTCAGGTAGTTCTTTATAGCAATAAACTAATACAGAAAATTGGTAGCAGAGAAGTGGGACATTGCAGTAAAGATACCTGAAAATGTGGTAGTGACTTTGGAACCGGGTAGCAGGCAGAGGTTGAAACAGTTTGTAGGGATCAGAAGAAGACAGGAAGATAAGGGAAAGTTTGGAACTTCCTAGAGACTTGTTGCATGGTTGTGACCAAAATGCTGATAGTGATACGGACAGTGAAGTCCAGGCTGAAGTGATCTCAGATAGAGATGAGGAACTTATTGGGAACTGGAGTAAAGGTCACTCTTGCTATGCTTTAGCAAAGAGACTGATGGCATTGTTCCCCTGCTCTAGGGATCTATGGAAATTTGAACTTGAGAGAGGTGGTTTAGGGTATCTGTTGGAAGAAATTTCTAAGCAGCAAAGCATTCAAGAGGTGGTCTGGCTGCTTCTAAAAGCCTATGCTTATTTGCATAAACAAAGAAAATGACCTGCAACTGGGACTTACATTTAAAAGGGAAGCAGAGCATAAAAGTTCAGAAAATTTGCAGCCTGGCCATGTGGTAGAAAAGAAAACCCATCTTCTCGGGAGTAACTCAAGAAGGCTGCAGAAATTTGCATAAGTAAAGAAGAGCCGAATGTTAATAGCCAAGAGAAGGGGGAAAATGCCTCCAAGATATTTCAGAGAACTTCAAGGCAACCCCTCCCATCACAGGCCTGGACGCAAAAATGGTTTTGTGGGCCAGGCTCAGGGACCCACTGCTCTGTGCAGCCTAGGGACATGGCATCCTGCATCACGGTCACTTCAGCTCTAGCCTTGGCTAAAAGGGGCCAAGATACAGCTTGTCCATTGCTTCAGAGGGTGTAAGCCCCAAGCCTTGGTGACTTCCACATTGTGTTGGGCCTGCAGGTGTGCAGAAGGCAAGAATTGAGGTTTGGCAAACTCTACCTAGGTTTAAGAGGATGTGTGGATGTCCAGGCAGAAGTCTGCTGCAAGGGTGGAGACCTCGTGGAGATCATCTACTAGGGCAGTGCAGGGGGGAAATGTGGGGTTGGAGGCCCCACACAGAGTCCCCACTGGGGCACTGCCTAGTGAAGCTATGAGAAGAGGGCCACTGTCCTCCAGATCCCAGAATGGTAGATCTGCTGACATTTTGCACCATGTGCCTGGAAAAGCCACAGGCACTCAATTCCAGCCTGAGAAAGCAGCCGTGGAGGCTGTATGATGCAAAGCTACAGGGGCAGAACTTTCTAAGGCCTTGGGAGGCCACCCATTGCATTAATGTATCCGGGATGTGAGACAAAGTCAAAGGAGATTATTTTGAAGCTTTAAAATGTAATGACTCCCCTGCTGGATTTCAGACTAGCATGGGATGTGTAGCCCTTTTGTTTTGGCCAATTTCTCTCATTTGGAATGGGAGCATTTACACAATGACTGTACCCTTATTGTATCTTGGAAGTACCTAATTTGTTTTTGGTTTTATAGGCTCATAGGCAGAAAGGACTTGCCTTGTTCCAGATGACACTTGGGACTTGGACTTTTGAGTTAGTACTGGAAGGAATTAAGACTTTGGAGGACTTTTGGGAAGGCATGCTTGTGTTTTGAAATGTGAGAAGGACATGAGATTTGGCAGGGACTAGGGGTGGCATAATATGGTTTGGCTATGTGTTGCCACCCAAACCTCATGTTGAATTGGGACCTGGTGGGAGCTGATTAGATGATGGGAGCAGATTCCCCCTTGCTGTTTTCATGATAATGAGTGAGTTATCGTGAGACCTGATGTTTTAAAAATGTGTGGCACTTCCCCCTTCACTCTTTCTCTCCTGCTCTGCTATAGTAAGACATGCTTGCTTCCCCTTCACCTTCTACCATGATTGTAAGTTTCCTGAGGCTTCCTAGTTATGCTTCCTGTACAGCCTGTGGAACTGTGAGTCAATTAAACCTCTTTTCTTCATAAATTACCCAGTCTCACTGGGTGCAGTGGCTCATGCCTGTACTCCCAGAACTTTGGGAGGCTAAGGTGGGTGGATCATGAGGTCAAGAGATTGAGACCATCCTGGCCAACATGGTGAAAACCTGTGTCTACTAAAAATACAAAAATTAGCTGGGTATGTTGGCATGTGCCTGCACTCCCAGCTACTCAGGAGGCTGAGGCAGGAGAATTACTAGAACCCGGAAGGCAGAGGTTGCAGTGAGCCAAGACTGTGCCACTGCTCTCCAGCCTGGCTACAGAATGAGACTCCATCTCAAAAAAAAAAAAAAAATTCCCCAGTCTCGGGCAGTTCTTTATAGAAGTGTGAGAACAGACTAATACAGCAACTATTCTTCTGTGTCTGTTTTTTCATCTGTAAAATTGAGGAGATTGGAATAAATGATCCCTCTATATCCCTTCTACTTTTGATGCTTTATGAATCCAGGTTAAAGTGTGTGGTACAATTTAAGAAGGCTCCTTTTAATATTTGTATATCCATTAAGGACTCTTAGCTCAGATCTTCAGTATTATTCAATGACTCTCTTTCTCTCTTCCTCCTTCTCTCTCTTTACCCTCATTCAGATCAACATATAGAACATTTCCATTACCTAGGAAGTTTCCTGTGTCCTTTCCAAAACAATCTCTTATCACCATTGATTAGTTTTGCCTTTTCTTGAACATATAAATGGAATCATACAGTATGTCATCTTGTGTCTTGCTCATTTTCCTTAGCAAAATGTTTTGATATTCCTCCAATTTTTGGTAGATATTTTTAGTTCATTCCTTTCCACTGTTATGTACTCTTCCATTATATGAATGGAATTCATACAATGGATTTGTTTATCCATTCTTTTATTGATGAATTTTTGGGTAATTTCCAATTGTTGGCTATGAATCTCCTGTATTAGCTTTGCAGCTGTAATGAAACTTTTAGTCATTTCCCTCAAGATCACAATATGTTCTCTTAAGTTATTAGTACTTTGGCCACTTCCCAAAGAATGCAAGATCCTTACAAGTTTACTTCCATGTATTTGTGTATCTCTCACCCTTGTGCCATTGTTGTAATACACTTTTTTATTGCATTTTATATTTCTACAAGATATTATTATTATTGTAGTTTTAAAAAGCTTTCATTACTATTTACTCATGTTTGCCCTTTCTCTGCACTTCATTTATTCTTGCATTCCCCCCTGCTGCTTTTGTTTTCTAGTTTTTGATTGCCAATAAGAGCTACAGAAAATCATGAAATATTTCTTTTGTTTCTATATTTAATGTTTAATTGTTTTTGTGCTTATTGTTAGTAACTTTTTGAAACACCTTTCATTCCTTTAAGTAGAGAGGCTCTTCAGCCAAATTTTTATTCCTTAATATTTCCTTTTTCTTCCAGACATTTTGTTGTTGATGAGAGCAGAAAAGATTTTCCTTTTTGGAAAACATTATCAAGCAAAATATTTTATGGGCCAATGCTTCCATAACCTGAAACAATTGAAAGAATTCTGGATTGAAATGATAGAAATTGTATTGGTTTCTGGATTTCTTGCTGTAGATTTTTTAAGAGAAAAAATGTATTAAATCTGTTTTTGAAGTGACTAAGCAACTCTACTAAAAATTGTCATGCAAGTGAAAATTGTCCTCAGCTTCTTAGGCTACCATGTGACATTTACTTCACTACTTAGCTTCACCCAAATCACGCTTTTCCCATCCCTTTCTTGCCTGAGATGCTTAATGTTTTTTCTCCTTTTTTTCTGTCAAAACCAAAGTGTATTTGTTTTTCCATGCTAAGAGTTGATAAAATATTGTCCCACTGAGGCATAAATTAGTAAGAAAATGCCAACTATTAGTTCTCCCAGTTGGTTTTATTTTTTTCATTACATTTTAGTAGGAAAAATAGGTTTTAAGTTAAAAGAAAGGAACCCAAAGATGGAGTTTCAAGACATCCAATAGGAAAGACAGATAGAAATACATTTCTGTATATAGATATGTGTACATATGTTTATACATATAAATATATAGATATGTGTGTATGTACATATTTCTGTATGAGTCATGGTCCAGGTGTAATTTAAAACTATTTATGGAAATATTACATAAAGCACATTTATTTATTAAAAAGAAGGATTTCCATAGTGGAGTATAAAGTTCTTTAAACAGTTAATAGGAAGACTAGTCAGGACAGAATTAGAAAAATGTATGTGAACCATCTCCAAGATATGAGAGAATTACGTGCCAGGTGTACCATGAAACAAATTATATTAGTGTTCAATATTGCATATAAGAGTATAACATAATTATGAATATAAAATATATATTATAAATAGAATGTCATTTACCAAGGTTTTCCACCTTAAATAATACCGTTTTTTAATCTTAAAACATACATTGTAATAAGAGTTATGATGTTAAGAATTCTAAGTATAGCATGACAAAACGCTTCTATTATTTTCTTTAAAATATATATAAAAAACTTTTGCTGCTTTTTGGTGGATAATAACCCACACACATGTACACACACACACATGCATCCCCATTACCTTTTAATGGAACAAGGCAAGTCCTTTAATGGGGACACATGCATCCCTATTACCTTTTAACGGGACAGTCACCATTAAAAATGTCTGCAGTTATGTATTTCTAAAATCAGCTCTGTGGGTAAGAAATTTAATGTAGCTGCCGATTCTGTGCGGTTCTGGGGAAATAATAGTTTAAAATCTTCTAATTTGACTCTAATTTCACTTCTAACTCCAACCTGTGCTCCTGAAGCAAGACGTTTTTGGACCGTCAGCAGGCAGATGAAGGCCTGAGAGTGGTAGGAGAGCTATTGTGGGCTTTCCTACCTCAGGGCTAGAGGAGGGCTTGGAGACCGGCAAAGGAAAAGATGGACCATTTCAAGTCTCAGAGCAAAAATACTAAGAGACAAAGATGGGATGGAAAATAAAAGTGACGTGGTAATCGATAGAGGAAATTTACACAAATCTAAAAATTCTGAAAAAGAAAAAGAAGCAGAGACAATAAATATGCATCCAAAGAGAAGAAAACTCTGAGCAAATTAAAAATGTGAGCTGCACATTCCCGTTACTGGGTATATACCCAAGGGATTATAAATCATTCTACTCTAAAGACACATACACATGTATGTTTATTGCAACACTATTTACAATAGCAAAGACTTGGAACCAATCCAAATGCCCATCAATGATAGACTGGATAAAGAAAATGTGGGACATATACACCATGGAATACTATGTAGCCATAAAAGAGAATGAGTTCATGTTCTTTGCAGGGACATGGATGAATCTGGAAGTCATCATTCTCAGCAAACTCACACAGGAACACAAAATCAAACACTGCATGTTCTCACTCCTAAGTGGGAGCTGAACAATGAGAACACATGGACACAGGGAGGGGAATATCACACACTGGGGCCTGTTACGGGGTTGGGGGGCAAGGGGAGGGGGTATTAGGAGAAATACCTAATGCCTGTGGGGCTTAAAACCTAGATGATGGGGCCGGGCGCGGTGGCTCACTTCTGTAATCCCAGCACTTTGGGAGGCCGAGGCAGGCGGATCACGAGGTCAGGAGATTGAGACCATCCTGGCTAACATGGTGAAACCCCGTCTCTACTAAAAATACAAAAAATTAGTCGGGCGTAGTGGCGAGAGCCTGTAGTCCCACCTACTCTGGCGGCAGAAGCAGGAGAACGGTGTGAACCTGGGAGGCGGAGCTTGCAGTGAGCCAAGATCGCGCCACTGCACCCCAGGCTGGATGACAGTGTGAGACTATGTCTCAAAAAAAAAAAAAAATCTAGATGACGGGTTGATAGGTGCAGGAAACCACCATGGAACATGTATACCTATGTAACAAACCTGCACTTTCTACACTTGTATGCCAGAACTTAAAGTAAAAAAAAAAAAAAAAAAAAAAGGCCAGGCGCGGTGGCTCACGCCTGTAATCCCAGCACTTTGGGAGGCCGAGGCAGGAGATGGAGACCATCCTGGCTAACACGGTGAAACCCGGTCTCTACTAAAAACACAAAAAATTAGCCGGGCGTGGTGGCGGGCGCCTGTAGTCCCAGCTACTCTGGAGCTTGAGGCAGGAGAATGGCGTGAACCCGGGAGGCGGAGCTTGCAGTGAGCCGAGATCGCGCCACTGCACCCCAGCCTGGGTGACAGAGCGAGACTCCGTCTCAAAATAAATAAATAAATAAATAACTAAAGTGAGCTGCAGTTTGAAAGGGCTCACCAATTTAGACTGATGGTATTTGTGTTGAGTTTCTTATATGTTTTGGATATTGACCCTTTATTAGCTGTATAGTTTGCAAATATTTTTTCCCATTCTGTGGGCTGTCCCTTCACTTTAAAGGTTTGCTGTGAAGAGGCTTTTTAGTTTGATGCCATTTTATTTCTCTCTTTTTGCTTTTTGCTTCTATTACCTGTGCTTTTTGCTTTTTGCTTTTGTTGCCTGTGCTTTTGGGGTCATATCCAAATAATCATTGCCCCAGCCAATGTTGTGGGGATTTTTCTCTGTTTTCTTTTAGTAGTTTCACAGTTTCAGATACTATGTTTAGATTTTTAATCCATTTGGGTTGATTTTTGTATGTGGTATAACATATGGATCTGATTTCATTCTCCTTCATGTGGATAGCTAGTTTTCCCCACACAATTTATTGAAGATACTGTCCTTTCCCCGTTGTGTGTTCTTGGCACCTTGGTCAAAAATCAATTGATCATACATGCATGGGTTGATTTCTAGGCTTTCTATCCTGTTTCATCAGTCAGTTTATTTTTATGCCAGTGCCATGCTATTTTCATTACAATAACTTCATAAGATTTTTGAAATTAGGGAGTGTAATGGCACCAGCTTTTTTCCTTTTGCCCAAGATCGTTTTGACTCTTTAGGGTCTTTTGTAATTCCACACAAATTTAAGGATATTTTTTATTGCTGTGAAAAATGACATTGCAATTTTGAGAGAGATTACATTGACACTGTAGATCATTTTGGGTTGTATGGACATTTTTGAAAGAGGGGTGTTGAGGTTCCATAATATTGTAGTATTGCCATTTATTTATCCCTTTATGTCATTTAATAATTGCTTTACGTATTTAGGTACTCTGATGTTGGGTGCATATATAATTACAATTGTTATGTCCTCTTGGTGAATTGACCCCTTTCTCATTATTTAGTGACCTTCTTTATCTCTTTTTACAGTTTTTGATTTAAAGACGATTTTGATTGATATAAATATAGATTCTCTTGGTCTCTTTTGATGTCTATTTGCATGGAGTATCTTTTTCCATACCTTCAGTTTCAGTCTGTATGTGTCCTCACTAGTAGAGTGAGTCTCTTGTAGACAGCATATGGTTCTTTAAAAAAAAAAAAAATTATTCAGCTGTCCTAAGTCTCTTGGTTGGAGAATTTAATCTGTTTACATTCAAAGTAATTACTGATAGGTAAGCACTTGCTACTGCTGTTTTGTCATTCATTTTCTGAATTTTTTGTAAGTCCCTGTTTCTTTATTTCTCTCTTGTTGTTTTCTTTTTGCTTTGTGGTTACCATGAGGCTTACGTAAAATGTGTGAGCTTTATAACAAGCTACATTAAGCTGATAATAATTGAACTTTAATCTCATACTTTCACTCCCCCCTTTTATAATTTTGATGTAAATTTTTTATTTGTTTTTGTAATTTGTATTCCTTAACAATTGCAGCTACAATTGCTTTTAATAGTTTTTCCTTTTAATCATCACAGTAAGGATACGATTGCTTTATGTATCACCCATACAGTGTTAGAGAATGAGTTTGATTATGTATTACTTAATACCATTGAGTTACTGAGATTTTTACATGCATTTTTTTGTTGTTGTTAAGTAGAAACCTTCCATTTCAGCTTAAAGAACTGCCTTTAGCCATTCCTGTAAAGCAGGGATAATGTAATAGACTCCCTTAGGATTTGTTTGTCTGGGGAAGTTGGAATTCTCTCTTATTTCTTTTTTTAATCTTTTTTTTTTTTTTTTTTGAGATGGAGTCTTGCTCTGTCGCCAGACTGGAGTGCAGTGGTGCAATCTTGGCTTACTGCAACCTCTCCTTCCCAAGTTCAAGTGATTCTCCTGCCTCAGGCTCCCGAGTAGCTGGGAATACAGGTGCACGCCACCACACCCAGCTAATTTTTGTATTTTTAGTAGAAACGGGGTTTCACTGTGTTGGCCAGAATGGTCTCGATCTCCTGTCCTCGTGATCTGCCCACCTCGGCCCCCTCAAAGTGCTGGGATTACAGGCATGAGCCACCCTGCCCAGCCAATTCTCTCTTATTTTTTAAGGACAACTTTGCCAAGTAAAAAATTCCTGGTTGGCAGTTCTTTTTCTTCTGCACTTTAAATATATCACCCCAATCTCTCTTGGCCTGCAGAGTTTCTGCTAAGAAGTCAACTGAAAGTCATATTGTGGTTCCCTTGAATGTGATATGTTTCTTATCTCTTGCTGCTTTCAGTTTTGTTTCTTTGTCTTTGATTTTTGATAAATTGATTATGTTTTATCTTGGTAAATTCCTTTTTGAGTGGAATTTGATTGGAGACTTTTGAGCTTCCTGTATTTAGATGTTGTCATCTTTCCCCAGATTGGGGAAATGTTCAGCCATTTTCTTAAATATCCTTTTTGGGCCTTCTTCTCTATCTTCTTCTGAATCTCTGATTATGTGAATATTAGTTTGCCTGATGGTATCTCATAATTCCTGCAGGCCTTCTTTATTCTTTTTCTTTTTGCTCTTCAGACTGGATAATTTCAAGATACCTATCTTTGAATTCAGTGATCCTTTCTTTTGCTTGATCAAGTCTGCTGTCAAAGCTTTCCATTGACATTTTCAGTTAAATTATTGTATTCTTTATGTCTCAGATTTCTATTTGGTTTCTATTTATCATCTCTAGTTCTTTGTCAATTTCTCATTTTGTTCATGAATTGGTTTCAAACTTAATTTAATTTAATTGGAGTTCCCTGAACTTCTTTAAGGGGGTTATCCTGAACTCTTTGTCAGTCATTTTATAGATCACCTTATATTCCAGATCTATTATCTGATCTTTATTATTTTCTTTTAGTGGTATCATATTTCCCTGACTTTTCATAATACTTCTGTCTTGCATTGATGCTTCTGTGTTTGAGGAGACGGCCACCTCTTCCAGGCCTTGACAGATCTTTACTACTTCGTAGGAAGGGATTCTGGATGTGTTAGCTGGCAATGACCCTGGACGGGCAGAGCTTGGTGTCAGGTTCTCTAGTTGGGCTGTGTCACTTCCTGAGCCCTAAGGTTGAATGGTACTGCTAACTGGACTCTGCAGTTCACTCTGATCAGGCAGGATCGTAGGCTGTCTCCGCTGGTTGGATGGTATTGTTGTTTAGAATCTGTAGTTGAACAGGCCTCTGGGCTGAGCTCTATGGTCACCTAAAGACTCTGGTGTTGTTGCTCAGCTACACAGGGCTGATTAGGGCTAGAAGCCATTATGCCCCACACATATGTGCGGACTTGATCTTGTCTCCTGGCCTAAGGTAGGCTTAAACAAAGCTTAGTGGAGTTCCTGGTCAGCTGCTGGTGCTGGGTGGGGACCAGATGTACCCTCTGCAGAGAAGTGCTGACTTTCACTTGCCTTCTAGCCTGGGCAATGCTGTAGAAAGCACCAGGTCTATGTAGGAAAGCTGGCGAGGGATGCTAGCTGGGTACACCTGTGAGCTGTACTTCCTGCGGTACAATGCTGTTGGCTAATCTCTCTCATATGATGCCTCCATTAGCCAGAATGCAGACTAACTACACGCTAGTTTCTGTGAGATCTACTCCCATTCTTTGTTTCTAGCTGACTCCAGGTGGTCTATCCCCGATGGCACTCCTAATGTTTCCTGTGGTATAAGACAAGGGTGAGCCTCCTGTGAAGGGTCCTAGAATGGTGGGCAAGCTGAATGTCCACCTCCAACTTTCTTTTCCCACTGTAGAAATTGTGGGTCTGGTGAAATCCTCTGTGTGTCGTGCTATGCCAGCTTGGTGGAGGGGTGGCATGCTCAAAATGAACTGTTCCTCTTACTCTTCAAAGCACAGCTTTTCTTAGTTCTGCAGTACAATTGGGTGTCTCAGTCTCACTCCTGAGTTCTGGGATATTCAGAAAGGTATTCTTGCCTGTGGATAGTTGCTAGTTGGATTTCCGTGTGGGGGTGTGGAGCTGGAGAAATTCTATTCTGCCACCTTGTGAAGTCATTCTCTGGAATAATTTTAGATTTACATAGAGTTGCAAAGATGGTAAAGACAGTTTCTATACACTCTTCACTTAGTTTCTTCTGATGTTAACCTCTTACGTTACCATGGCACATTTATTAAAAATAAGAAATTAACATTGTACAATACTATTACCTAAATGACAGGCTATATTTAACCAGTTTTTCATTCTTGAGAGGAAGTCTTACTCTAATGCCTAGGCTGGAGTGCAGTGGTGCGATCTTGGCTCACTGTAACCTCAACCTCCTGGTTTCAAGTGATTTTCATTCCTCAGCCACCCGAGCAGCTGGGATGACAGGTGCCCAACACCACATCCGGCTAATTTTTGCATTTTTATTAGAGATGGGATTTCACCATGCTGGCCAGGCTGGTCTCAGACTCCTGACCTCAGGTGATCCACCTGCCTTGGCCTCCCAAAGTGCTGGGATTACAGGAGTGAGCCACCGTGCCCGGCCCACATTTCACCAGTTTGTTTTTGTTTTTGTTTTTAACTAATTTCTTCTCTTTGTTCCCAGGTACCATCAAGGATCTCATATTGTGTTTAGTCTTCATGTCTCCTTAGTCGACTTCAATTAGGGACAATCTCTCTGTCTTTCCTAGCTTTGACACTTTGAAGACCACTGACCAGATATTTTTTAGAATGTGCATCAAATGATTTGGGTTCATCTGATGTTTTCTCTTGATTAAAGTGGGGTTGTAAATTTTGAGGAAGAATTTCACATAGTTGAAGTGACCTTCCCATTGTGTCACGGTGGTGTGAGGTAGCCATATGACTTTTCATTGTTGATGTTAACCTTGATTACTTGGCTATGTTGGTGACTTGATGGTTCCCTCCACTACAAAATTACAGTTTTTACTTTTCCATATTCCATTTCTTAAAAGTCAGTCATTAAGACCAACCTGCAAGACTGGGCACAGTGGCTCATGTCTGTAATTCCAGGACTTTGAGAGAACAAGGTGGGCAGATTGCTTGAGCCCAGAAGTTCAAAACCAGCCTGGACAACATGGTGAAACCCCATCTCTACAAAGGTACAAAAATTAGCCAGGTGTGGTGGAGTGCACCTGTAGTCTCAGCAATGTGGGAGGCTGAGGTGGGAGGATCACTTGAGTCTGGGATGTTGGGGTTGCAGTGAGCTGTGATTGTGCCAATGCACTTCGGCCTGGATGACAGAGGAAGACCTTATCTCAAAAACAAAAACCCAAACCACAAAAACAAGACTAACTTGCAAGCCACATGAGGGGAATTCAACTTCACCTTAATTCAAAATCACCAGAGTAATTAACAAATATTTAAAGAATTTTTCAATGGTTATAGAATTCTGGGTTGATAGGTTTTTAAGAATTCTTTTATGACTTCAAAAGTGTCACTTCGTTTCTTGCTTGCATGGTTTCTGATATGAAGTCAGCTCCCATTCTTAACCTTGTTTCTTGTTTGATAATGTCTTTTTGCCTCTAGCTTCCTCAAGATGTTTCTCTTTTGAGAAAAATGAGAGATTTTCAGTTTTTGTGTTGATTTCTCTTTGTCTCTGGTTTTCAGCTATTTGAACACATTCCATATCACTTTAAGATTTCTTCATCGGTGGTCACTGGACACATGTGTCACAATTAACAAAGGGGAACACATTCTCCAAATGTGTTCTGTTTCCCCAGGAAGACAGCTGGAAATGCAACAAAATGCCTCTCCCTCTCCTTTAGCAAAACACGAGTCAGGGCAATGCAAGATTTGATTGGGACTGCTTTACTTCATTAACTATTACAGTGCGCTGTTTTTCTTTCTAGTAACAACCCAGTAATAGTTATTAAATTATTTGGAGCTAAATAAGTGTAATGGTAATTTTCATTTAAAGTTTGCTATATGGTAGCTTAGAGCATCTTACCTGTACACAGTTCCAAACGCAGAAAACCTAAATGAAATTAACATATATGTATCATTACAGGTTCTCAAAACCTCATAAATGGCTCTATTTTACATCTCTGAGCTCTTATATGATGTTTCCTTTAACTATGTCACAAGACCTAAGACTATGGTTTGAAATATATACCTACTATAAAAAAGTAAGCCTTCCTGCTGGTGTCAATAGATAAAAACAAAACAGACAAAACGACAACCAAAAATGCCCAGAAATCCTTTTTTTTTTTTTTTTTTTTTTTGAGATGGAGTCTCACTCTGTCACCCAGGCTGGAGTGCAGTGGCGCGATCTCAGCTCACTGCAACCTCCGCTTCCCAGGTTCAAGCAGTTCTCCTACCTCAGCCTCCTGAGTAGCTGGGACTACAAGCGCCCACCACCATGCCTGGCTATTTTTTTTGTGTATTTTTATAGATACAGGGTTTCACTGTGTTAGCCAGGATGGTCTCGATCTCCTGATCTCGTGATCTGCCCACCTCGGCCTCCCAAAGTGCTGGAAACCCTGTTTTTAAATGCATATTTGCATTCATAATAACCCGTGAATACATACATCTATTGATCTATGTATTCATGCATCTCTATATGTAAATGTCTGTCCAAAATGCCACTATATATATATTTATATATTAAACTTTTATTTTAAGTTTGGGTTACATGTGCAGGTTTGTTATATAGGTAAACGCGTGTCATAGGGGTTTGTTGTACAGATTATTTCATCACTCAGGTATTAAGCCTAGTAACCAATAGTTATTTTTTGTACCCCTTTCCCTCCTCCCACCCTCCACTCTCAGGTAGGCCCCAGTGTATGTCGTTCCCCTCTATGTATCCATGTGTTCTCATCGTTTAACTCCCACTTGTAGGTGAGAAGATGCGGTATTTTGTTTTCAGTTCCTGTGTTAGTTTGCTAAGGATAATGGCCTCCAGCTTCATCATGTTCCTGAAAAGGACATGATCTCATTCTTTTTTACAGTTGCATAGTATTCCACTATTCCACGGTGTATATGTACCACAATATGTTCAATTTTAGTTTATTACAACTTATATGCAACATACAATGGCAAGATGAATCAGATCAGAAGATAAACAATTGAGTGTGAAAAGACAGCAGTTTTTTTCCTGTTTTATTCTCTGCAGATGTAATTTTCAACGAGAATACATTTTATTGCATTAGTAGTGCTTTTAGAAGAGACATCAATATGATGCCCAGGCTGGTCTTGAACTCCTGGTCTTAAGTGATGCTCCCTCCTAAGCTTCCCAAAGTGGTAAGTTGTACTTCCTGAGGGCATAGAAAAGAGACATAGAAGCAAGTGAAATTGGTATTACCCTTTTTTCTGTTATTCTTTATTAGTAAAACAAATTAGGTTTTTCTTTCCTTGGTTTTCATGTGTCCAAGCTCCTTTCTCTTTCATTTCACATGTGCACAAATATAATAACATACACTTTTGAACATCAAAAGTTGAATGATGAAAGATCATTCGTTAGCCCAAATCAACCTGCACATGACTTTTTTTTTATTCCTCTGAGAGTTAGCCTGTGGAAAGGTGGCAGGGTTTCATTGCATTATCCCCTGCAGATGGAAAGGTCAATGACAACATGTGTAATTGCTTCAGTCCTGATTTTCTACCTACACTTACTGCTGTGGGGTTGTTTCACCTGACCAAGGCAGTTTCTGTGGCAGCAGGTCCTAGCTGTCTCGACCAGGTCCACTGACAAAGCCACTTTGCTGAGTGGCCAATTTGCTGATGACTATTTTGTTAAATTTGTTTCTGCTAACTATTTAAGGTTGACTAATTTTCTTGTGTCATAGTCTCAGCAAATGTGAAGGGATGGCTGGTCTATCTCTGACCTGGCTTTCTGCTTTGACAGATGGAAGCTAAAAGAAAAAAGGAAAAACTGATGGTGCAAAAGATAAACATATTTATATGAGTTTATTCTTGAATAAAATGATTTATTTTTAAAATATATTCTTGATATGATTTGGCTGTGTCCCCACCCAAATCTCATCTTAACTTGTAGTTCCCATAATCCCCATGTGTTGTGGGAAGGACCCAGTGGGAGGTAATTGAATCATGGGGGCGGTTACTTCCATGCTGCTGTTCTCATAATAGTGAGTGAGTTCTCGCGAGAACTGATGGTTTTATAAGGGGCTTTTCCCCCGTTTGCTCAGCACTTCTCCTTTCTGCCATCATGTGAAGAAGGACATGTTTGCTTCCCCTTCTGCCATGATTTTAAGTTTCCTGAGGCCTCCCCAGCCATGCTGAACTGTGAGTCAATTAAAACTCCCTTTTACAAATTACCGAGTCTCGAGTATGCCTTTATTAGCAGCGTGAGAACGGACTAATACGATTCTTCCGATGAATATATTCTTCTCATTGATAAATGCTTGATGTAAATGCTTAATTTTTCCTCTAGGTGCCTTCAAGATTTTTCTCATTGTCTGTGGTTTTCAGCAATTTGGATACCTTACATATCGTTTTTATGAATCTTCCACAGAGATCAGTGGACACATGTGGCACAAAGAACATGTGAATTAAGAATGCACTCCTGAATAATATATTTTACATATATGTTATTGAGCATATTCTTAAATATAAATAATTTCTTGTGAATATATTTTGATTAATAAAAATATATTAATAAATGTTAACTCATGCATATTCTTCTTACTCAAAAATATGTTCTTATATTAATTACTCCCTCTCTCTTCCTCCTAGTCTCCAAAGGTAACATCAGGGGCTAGAACAGAGACACAGAA
Source organism: Homo sapiens (assembly GCF_000001405.40). Classification (NCBI taxonomy): domain Eukaryota; kingdom Metazoa; phylum Chordata; class Mammalia; order Primates; family Hominidae; genus Homo; species Homo sapiens. Next base: position 62,950,825 of record NC_000009.12, read on the forward strand.
ATGTTCCTTAAAATGTCAAAATGAAATATTGTCTATTAAAACAGAAGAATTAAAATAAACAAGAGAAGTTAGGTATTGGTCATCTGATATTTGTAACCTGCAGCTTTCCCAGGAAACTTGGTTGGACCCTTTTCTTGGTTCAGCTGTCAGAAGCTAAATGTTCCCTTCCTCTCTCTCTTTGCAGTCTGTTCATGACATTTGGTATTCCTAATATGCCCACTTGGAGGAAATTGCCAGCTTAGGCCAACCAGGGTGAAATGCATGCACTTATAAACTCATAAGCCCAATAATAATTTTCAGAAGGAGGCACTCATTCACTTCGGCTTATAAACTTGCAAATCTGTAGATTCATTAGTCTATCACTTACATGGAAAGACAAAATTTATATTTAATTGTTGAGACTTGACTTCAAAATTTTCAAGAATATCAACATTTGTTTTTGTTGTGCACCTCTCTGTCAAAAGATAAATACGTAGTACATAATCATTATTATTTATTAATAATATACTCTGCATGGTCTTACATTTCACAGTTCATGCATTGTTTATTCATTAATATAACCTGTTAACGTTAATATGCACCACATTACCGAGAGCCCTTGTCAACTCCTCAGAAGCAACTAACTCCCAAGGTAACTATGACAACGAATCTCTTAATGCTTAAAGTGTAACAAAAAGATTGTGTGATTTGGATGTTAATTCAAATATTTCCTATACAGCCCCATACAGCCACTTTAGAAGGGAAGTGGTTTCTCACAAAACTAAGTATATTGTCACCATAAGATCCAGTAATTGTGTCTTGGCATTTAACCAAAGGTATGGAAAACTGAGGTCAACACAAAAATCTGCACATTGATGTTTATAGGAGTTTTATTCATAATTGCCCAAAGGTGGAAGCAACTTCAGTAAGTGAATGGATAAACAAACTCTGGTACACTCATACAATAGAATGTTATTAAGTGATAAAAAGGTACACACTATTTAACTATGAGTAGACATGGAAAAAAAAAACCTTAAATGCCCATCGCTAAGTGAAAGAAGCCGATCTGAAAAGAGTACATACTGTGTAAGCCGAACTATATGACATTCTTTAAAAGGCAGAACGATGAAGACAATGAAAAGCACAGTTGTTGCCAGGGATTTGCAGGGAGAAGGAGGGATGAATAGGTGGAACACAGGGGATTTTTAGGGCAGTGAAACCATTCTGTAAAATGTCATGGTGGATATATGACATTACACATTTTCCAAACCCATAGAATGTACAACACAAACAGTACACCTTAATGAAACTGTTGATTTTAGTTAATAATAATAATGTATCAATATTGGCTCATTAATTGTAACAAATACACCAGACGAATGCAAGATATCTTAATAATAGGTATGATGAGCTAGGGAGGGTTTAAGGAACTCTCTGTATTGTCTGCTCAATTTTCTTGTAAATGTAAAACTGCCTCCAAAAATAATGTCTTTTTATTAAAGGAAAACATGCTGCTACCACTATGTGCTTAGTGTCCTATGCATTTCAAGTCTGGGTGGTATGTCTAGCAGAAATATATTAACATGTCCCAGGCTGATGGTATTGAATAAAGGATTTAGATGGCCATAAAAAATGGATTTTGTATAATGGATTTCTGAGTTGATAAGAAAGCAGTATGAGTATATCACCATAATACAAAACTTAGTGATTTGAAATAAGGCAAACATATCATCCATTTTGCCAGTGTAATGATAACACACACACTGTATAAACAGATATTGGAACATCAGTTTGTCACTGGTTGTTCAGGATGTAGAATATACATCAACTTAAATTTTCACATTTAGTAAAGCTCTAGCTTCCTCTTATGCTAGCTCCATAAATAAGACAAATTTTTTCTTTCATCCTCTCTGATGGCCAATGCCGGCCTAAACTCTTGCCTGTTAGGAATTAGTACACATCTCCTAGCTCAGAGACACCTACACGAGTGACTCTTGGCCAGTGGAACCTGGTTCACTGTGCCCTCCAGTGTGGGGCCAGGCATTGTTCCTCTCCCTTGCTTGGCATCCCAGTCTTGTGGGCCCTCTTTCAGTTGTTCATTCACTCCCTGCTTCCTCTCTTCACAAAAACTACTCTGTTGACCTTGGTTTAGAATTCTCTACCCACCCTCCACCCACCTCTTTATGCTGATCCTGTCCTTGTCCTGTCTTGCAAGGCTCAACAGTTAAGTCTCAGGGCAGCCTTCCCTCACCCTTCAGTCCTGCCGCTTTATATAACCATCCTGTAGACTCCTGCTATTTTCCATCAGCCTGAGAGCCTCAGTTCCCTGGTGTGATAATGTGACTAAAGTCAGCCTCACCTAATTAAACAGGGAGCCCCCAGAAAGCAGGGCTCACTGTCATTCGGCAGTACCTGCCCTGAGTCTGGCCCATCCTTGCTGCAGCTCAGGAGAACTCAGCAGCCCAGGACAGCACCTTCGTAGGGCTCAGCAATACAGCTGGAACTAAGGGAGGGAGGAAAAGAAAGAGGCAGAGAATAAATGAATCAACTTAGCCAGAATTTTACAGTCAGAAGATCTACAAAGAAGTGGGTTTAGTTTCAGGATATATTTGCTTTTAAAGACAAAATGACATTTTAATGCTGTTATTAGTGGTAGGGAATGGGTGACATGTCCATGTGTTGGTGCTTGAGGTCACTAAACAACTTAACATAGCTCTGAGTAGAGGTTTCAAAGAGAGTTTTCGATGAAATGATTTGTTTTACAAAATAGGGCACATTATCTCCTGTTTTGTTGTGGAAACAAAACCCATAGAATAATTTCCCTTTTAAGCAATTCTTCTTTGTTTCTACTGAGGGAAGCTGAACTAGGAATACACCGTGTTAGATCAGGAGAGATTCAAGACAGACATTGGGAAGAATTTTCTAGCTGGGGTGTTGTTAATCACTTTCGCACAGTAAAAAAGCCTGCAGAGCAGCCTTTTTTTTGATGAGAGTTAAGGCAATAAGACAATTAATAGTCTAACCCAGTAACAGCTGAATTGACCAGATATCCTTCAAGACTTCTCAGAGACTTCCTCAGCACATGGACTTGAGCTCTTACATAATGTTCTCATTCACAGACTGCATTGTGCCTGCAATCTCATGTGTCATTATTATTAGTAGTAATAGTATTTTAGACGGAGTCTCACTCTGTCGCCAGGCTGGACTGCAGTGGCATGATCTCGGCTCATTGCGACCCCCGCCTCCTGGGTTCAAGCGATTCTCCTGCCTCAGCCTGCCAAGTAGCTGGGATTACAAGCGCCTGCCACCACACCCAGCTAATTTTTGTATTTTTAGTGGAGACGGGGTTTCACCACGTTAGCCAGGATGGTCTCGATCTCCTGACTTCGTGATCTGCCTGTCTCGGCCTCTCAAAGTGTTGGGATTACAGGCGTGAGCCACCGCGTCCGGCCCCATCTGTTATTATTCAAGGTATTTTAGTGCATCACCGCACACACGATCTTGGGTCTCGCCATTATTTTGTTATCCCTGTACTTGAAGAAGAGAGACATTCTGACTGGCATTAACTCAACATTTTGTGTGATGGACTACTACATATGGCTCGGAACGCATTTTTGTTTGCTATATAGAAATGATCTTCTCTTCGGTGTGATAAATAATACAGCTAAAAGTCTCAGAATTAATCAAACTTACCATCAATTAATTTCAAATTTTTGACTAGTTTCCTTAAGTATTTAAATTATTATGATTTGCAAAATAACCTTGAAAGTCATTCAGTCAGAATGGCTTTGAAATAAAATCATCATATGTTAAAGTAAGAAATTATATCCTACCTAATAAGGACAATAGATACATTAAAATAGTCTCATCAAGTATTTGTCTTTAGTTAGTAGTTATTTCTCCAAGAAAGTATTAACTTCAATTTTGAACAAAGTTTTCTTTCTTTTTCTGGCAGTATCAGCCTTTTGCCAAGCTGAACACAAGGGGATGAAAAGAAAATCTGGGCTCGAATGTGCAATTTCATATTTTATGTTAAGGCAATTTACAACATATCATAAAGCTGCATTAATAAACAGATGTTTCACAGTCTGCAGAATATAAAATAAATGTCTTGAATAAGCTACCAAGACCAAGGCACTTTTTGGAGCAGATATTTTTGTCTTAAAGTTTTATCTCATGCAAACACTGTATATAACACAAACTTATATAATCAATGCTTTTAGCAAAATGTCATAGTAGAACCAAAGCCCAATTGTTAGCTGAAATCTATATAAATATAGGTATGTAGAATAGTTAGGAAATATAAATATTAGCATATGCTCTTTATTGTTGATGATATCAAGAATTCTTTTATGAACTCAGAAAAGTTTTTTCTCTTTATATTCAAAATGAAGTTTTCTAATTACTTTCTTTTTCACAGGGTTCTCCCTGTCTGCAAATTATAACCATTACAGCTATTTCTTTCAAGTAAATATCTCCTTTGAATCAGTCTTAGTTTCTCCAACACCTAGACAATGCCTGGCACATGTAAAGGCATTCAGAATACAAGTAAATGCATGCATAAAATGAATAAATATATTTACAAGATATTTATAGACATGTCATAGGAATGTGGGGGCCAAGAAGAGGGATTCTAGCTTTTGGGTAGATACAATTGCAGATAATAACAATAACTTACAAGGTGCCTAAAATATCAAGTTACCGTTCTAAATGTGTTAGATCTATTGGTTCATATAGTGCTTGCAAAAGCCCTTGAAGTATAGTTTTATTATACTTACCATTATATAAATAGAGAAACTAAGACAGGGAGAGGTTATGTTGTTCCAGGTTCACGTGACAATTCAATGGCAGAGCTTGATTCAAATTTCATACTTTTAACTTACGTACAATTTTGTCTACCATCAAGACATTCTTCTTGCTGAATGGAACAAGGCCCTCAAAGGGAATTTATGGAGTACTATTACACATAAATAACTCTGCATATAAGTAATTCTTCTGTGGAATGATTTCATCTTATATTCTCAGAGAATGACACATTTTATGTCAAATAAATACAGGAGAAAGAAAATGATTTTATAAATGTTACTAACACTATCCTAACAAATGGAAGAGATATGATAAACTTTACATTCTAATTTGAAATTTATGAAAATGATAAACAAAACACTGTTTTGAGTAGACTCTATCTCTTATTTTTGTGAGGCCAAAATATCTAATACATTTATTTTATGAAATAAATGCTTAGGGATTATTTTATTTGTTGTTGTAAGGAATTATGCCTACTGAAATGGACAAAGCATTGTGATTAGTGTTGGGTCTTTTGGCTCAGACTCACCTAAAGGGAACAAAGAGGAACAACCAGATGGTGAAACGGAGGTTCCTCCATCCTCTGATAGCTTGACTACCATTGCATTTTAGTAAATCCTTAAATCGTATACTATGCTTATGACAACTTAATTTTTTTTGTAATTGATGATGGAGTTGATAAGTTCTTGTATACCCTTGCTTGTTAGATCAGGAGAGACTCAGGACAGACATCAGGAAGAATTTTCTAGCTGGGGTGTTGTTAATCACTTGCCCACAGTAAAAAAAAAGCCTGCAGAGCAGTCTTTTTTTGATGAGAGTTAAGGCAATAAGACAATTAATAGTCTAACCCAGTAACAGCTGAATTGGCCAGATATCCTTTAAGGCTTCTCAGAAGCCTCCTCAGCACATGAACTTGAGCTCTTACATAATTTTCTCATTCATAGTGACTGCATTGTGCTTGCAATCTCATGTCCTATTATTTAAGGTACTTAGTGAATCACTGCATACATGACCTTAGGTCTTGCCATTATTTTGTAATCCCTGTACTGGAAGAAGAGAGACATTCTGACTGGCATTAACTCAACATTTTGTGTGATGAACTATTACATGTGGCTCAGAATGCATTTTTGTTTGCTATACAGAAATGATCTGTTAATTATATGTGATAAACAATACTGCTAAAAATCTCAGAATTAATCAAACTTACCATCAATTAATTTCAAATGTTCACTAATTATTAGCGAGAGAGGAGTGTTGAATTATCTAATCATAATTGTACATTTGTTGATTTCTTCTTTTAGTTCAATTAATGTTTGCCTTTTGCCAAATTTGGGTAATTTTTCCTGTTAGGTTTTCAAAATTCTTTCAGCACTGCGCTCCTTTTCATTTTCTCCTTCTGAGACTCAGATGACATGTATGTTGGAACTTTAGTTATTGTTCCTCAAGTCTCTAAGGCTCTAATCGAGACTTTTTCATCTTTCTTTCTCTCTATTGTTCAGATTAGATAATTCCTGTTGATTTATATTCACGATAACAGATTCTTACCTCTTTAGTTTTACTGTAATAAAAAGCTTACTTAGAATTTTGTATGTCAGTTATTGGATTTTTTGGTCCTAATATATTCATTTTGTTCCTTTTTACATCTTCTATTTATTTTCTGATACTTCTAGTTTTCCATTGGTATACAAGTGTTTGTGACCGGGCATGGTGGCTCACGCCTGTAATCCCAACACTTTGGGAGGCCGAGGCGGGCAGATCATGAGGTCAAGAGATCAAGACCATCTGGCCAACATGGTGAAACCCCTTCTCTACTAAAAATACAAAAATTAGCTGGACGTGGTGGCGCATGCTTGTAGTTCCAGCTCATTGGTAGGCTGAGGCAGGAGAATCGTTTGAACCCGGCAGGCCGAGGTTGCAGTGAGCCTAGATTGCGCCACTGCACTGTTGCCTGGGTGACAGTGTGAGACTCCGTCCCAAGGAAAAAAAAAAGTGCTTGCGACCACTTGTTGGAACATTTTTATAAAAGCTGCTTTAAAATCCTTGTGATGTAATTCAAATTTATTTTTCTTCTCAGTATTGGTAGCTACTTAGTACTGACTGTCTTTTCTCATGTGGGGTGCAGTTTATCTGTTTTTTTGTAATTTTGGATTGTGTCATGCACATTCAGTTTTGAGGCTCTGGGTCCTCACAAAATATTAGGCGGATGGATGCTGTTTTTGTTTTAGAAGCAATTGACCTTGTCATATTCAAGCTGCAAGTTCCAATCTGTGTTTTGTGAGCTGTGGTTCCAACAATCAGTTGAGTTTTCAAAGCCTTTCCAGTTTTCTTCAGATGTGTCCTGGTGGTCAGTGTGGAAGTCGGATGATAATCTGCTAGTTTCGTTCTCAAAATCTTTGGTTAACTAATTAGGAGCCGATCCACACACATGCAGCTTGGGGATGCGCTCAGTTCATTAAAAACTTTATGGTGTCACTTTCTCATACTCCTTCCTCTCCACAATGTCTCCAATATTTTCTGGTTCCCTGGAGCTCCTCTTTTCTGTTTTCTGGCCAGAATGCTGGGTCTTTGATTACGGTACTCTGCTACAGTGTTTCATGGCTGCACCCATGTTTGGAGCCGACAGGTGGCAAAATGAGAAAAGACTTTAAAAAGTTTGCATCACCCTCTTGGGATCACTACTGCACCAACTGGAGAGGAAGATGCCCTGGCCTGAGGGTTTTGTTTCTCCTAGGCACTGTCTGCTGCTGCCACCACAGGAATTC